>NC_000021.9:6211371-6377258 GCF_000001405.40 Homo sapiens
GATCATACTTGTAGCATTAGGCCCAGGGATGAGAGTCAACATCATTACAATTAACTATGTCAGGATAGGAGACTCATCCCTTGCCTATGAGCTGAGTTTAGATGTGGGCCACCATTTTAACTCTGGTTGAATGTTTATATATGAACACAGGCCTAGCACCAATGTGATGTGAGTCTTTGGCCTAGACACTTCAAGCAGGAGGCAATGTGACATATCTCTGGGTCTATCAACTATTTGATATGACCTTCCTTTTTTACCTGAGCTTTCCCCATAAAAGAGATGTGACATATGTCTAGACCCAGCACCTGGGTGATGTGGCTCTTCTTTATTGACTGAGCCCTGTGTATTTTGGGTATTCTGACATATCCCTGTACCTAACTTCTGGAAGATAAGAAGATCCAACATGGGCCCTGCCTAAAAAGTCTCTTGTGACAAATTTCTACATGAATCACCTTGGATATTTGACTCTTCTCTCTTACCTGAGCTTTGCCCATAAGAGAGATTGTTACGTACCTCTGCAGCAAGCACCTAAATGCCGTGACTCTTCTTTCTTGCCTGGGTCATGCCCACAGATGAAAGGTGGCTTATCGCTGTGTCCAGCACACCGGTTATGTGATTATGCTGCCTGATCTCTTCTCACAGGAGCTGTTGTGACAAATCCCTGGGCCCAGAAATTATTTAATACGACTCTCCTCAATGACCTTAACTTTGTGCATGGGATAAATTGTGACATACCTCTGGATCCAGCACCGAGGTGATGCGACTCTCCTTTTCTGCATGGGCTATGCTTACAAGAAGGAGGCTGACTTATTGCTGTGTTGACAACTGATGTGATACCTCTGTTCTTGTCTTCCTAGATTTTAAGAATTTAAACAAGAGACACAAAGAAAAAAAGTACAGCATAATTTATTGGAAAAGAAAATATTTGAAAGTTAAGTGCAGAATACAGTACACCCTGAGAGAGATACTCCAGGGCTGACTGCTCATAAGAGTGAGACAGCGTGGACTGTCGCTGGAGAAACCCCTTTATGGCAGTTTTACATTATTATTAATAAGGAGGAGGGAAGAGGAGTTGCTAGTAAACATGTTCTCTGTGGTATTCTGGGTGCATATGCGCAGTAGCTGTACATGCTTGTTCATATGTTGCATGTCTCGTTAGCATCTTATATTTCCACCCAGGAGTGTATTTCTGTGTGTTTGTTTGTTTGTTTGTTTGAGACAGAGTCTCGCCGTGTTGCCCAAGCTGGGGTGCAGTGGTGTGATCTCTGCTCACTGCAACCTCTGCCTCCTGAGTTCAAGCCATGCTCGTGCCTCTGCCTCCTGAGTATCTGGGATTACAGGCATGCACCATCATACCCTGCTAATTTTTGTATTTTTAATTTAGACGGGGTTTCTCTATGTTGGCCAGTTTAGTCTCGAGCTTCTAGTTTGAAGTGATCCATCTTCCTCAGCCTCCCAAAGTGCTGAGAGTAGAGGTATAAGCCACCGTGCCTGGCTAGGGGGTGCATTGTTTGCTATTAAAATAAGCAAAATTTAAGTTTGAGGGCAGGTGAAATCAAAATACACATGCTCTCTAGAACAGAAAGTCCTTAATGAGGATAGCTTTGCTCGAATAAGCCCAATTACAATGCGAATGCTACGGCTTATTGTGTTGGCTGTACAGTCACCATGGTTTCTGTATCCTGAGATCATGGTCATTTTCTGTACTATCTATTCTGCCTCAATTTCCCCCTAAGAGATTTTAGGGCAATAACCATATTGGAGGTTGAGGGGTTAGACCACTTTTTCTGGAGCTGTTTCCTGCTGAGTGGGTGTTACTTCTGCCTAGCCTGGGCCTTAAAGTTTCTTCCTGTGTGATCTAACAGGGTGTAAACCATGTCATTCGTGGAACCAGTGGGAAGATGTTGGCAGCCAAAGATTGAAAGCCTTGCAAACCATCATGCAAACATGGAGCTGCCACAAGCAACATAGCAGGAAATCAGTTAACATTTTAAACAAAATTGGAACAAAAGTAGAAGTTGAAAATATAATAATGACGGGTACTATTAAAGAGAGCAAGGCAGGCAATGGACATTGCTTTCATGTTCCCATGGAAGTTCCTAGAGATTCAATTTTGTCTGCCTGGGTGATGATATTATTAATATTTTCTTGGAATAAACCAGAATGATTGATCTCAAAAAACAGCATTCTTCTTTTAGATATAAACATGTTCCTCTTTGCTTGGCTGGGAGAAGATCCCAGGCTCTTTGATTTTGTTGGAATGCAGTGGCCATGGAGTCCAGATGTTGTTGAAGTCTATTGAGGCCCTCTGCTGCCTGTTGGGGACACACTGAGATTTTCTGAGATAGTTTATACTGGATTCCCAAGGCTCCACCTTATGGTGACATTTGTGCTGCAAAAGTATTCTGCTTTAAAATGGTGAAAGCAGCAAAAGTTTTAAGTCTTTTCTATTTTTCGCAAATAAGAAAAAGTTTTGTGCAGCTGAGTTGGCAGCAGTCATTGGGTCCATTTATGGATGGTAAAGTTGAATGGTGGTCAAAGTTAGAGACTGGAAGGCTTCAGTAAACGCGCTGAAGTTGTCTGAGAGCCATCAGAGCTGTTGCTTACATTGGATTAGATCATTTACTGGGAAGAGAAGAAGCACTCTGATGGTCCTCTCTCCATTTGAGACTTTCTGTAAGCGGATCAAATTCTCTGGCCCTGCATGGTGTGAAGCTCCACTGTGAGTAACTGCAGCTGGACTGGTCTCTATTGTAACTGGCAAAGGCTGATAGAGGAGCATAAGGAGGAGGTGAAACAAGCTTAGATTCTACAGAAGACTCTGATAGTGTGGGGACGCTGGGGATTCTAAAGCAGGTGTAGGCCTCTGAGGGCCCCTATCTGGAGCTGGTATTAGGCTGTGGGGTCTGGGGTCACTTGTCCATAAAACAAATGATCTTCTACTGGATCTGAGGGGCTTTGTGGCTTACTAGGCTTTAGCCCACAGGTGCTGCATGGAGCTGGGTTTTGTTGTCGGGCCAGAAAGTCTTGCACATAGGATACTTCAGACCATTTTCCCTGATTACTACAGAAAAGATCTAGCTGTATGATGGTGTTAAATTTCACAGTCTCATTCTCCAGCCATGTTTTGTCAGCTAATCTGTATGCAGGCTAAATAGTTTTACAAAAGAAGATAATTGTTTTTTTGCTTCATTTAGCCAAAAGCTGTTTCAATTTTTAAATATACATCCCAGGTGTGTTTCAGTGACAGTAGAGGAAGTGATTCCCATGGTGCCGAGAGAATCCTGCAAACGACAGAACATGTACTAAAGTCCAGGAGGCTGTGGGCAGCCCCATGAGCCAAGTGGAACCACCAAGTTGTCCAACTCATCCCCTTGAAACCCCATTAACTGAAGCTCTAGGAGGTCATAGGCATTTGCCATGCACCGTCCTAGCTCTCACCAGCGCTGGACATCTCCAGCCCTGCCGAGATGACCCCCACTGCTCGCTGGGGGGCAGATGTCTGGCTGACAAGCCTTTCCCTAATTCAGTGGTTTGCCATTTATGATGCCCAATTATAACACCTGCAATGCTCAGATTCAATCCCTATGACTGGGCCTATCCATGACTGTGCATCTTTTGTTCAGCAAAGAAAGCCTGTTGAAGAACAATTTCAAGGAGCTGGGAAATGCATAAAGCCTAAAGGGACAGGGTTTCCCCAGAACTTTAGTGAAACAGTGCTGGAAGAACCAGCGATAGTTAACCAGGTAGTCTGGAAGTGCCACAGTATTCACGGCAAGTAAAGGGAAAGTGAAATCAGTGAAGCGGACAGACCTCTCTCCAGGCCATGGCAAAAGAAATGTTGATGGCTGATGTAATACCTTGATTCTTATTTTCTTAGTTTAAAAGAATTCAAACAAGAAACACACAGCAAAAGAAGTACAGCATAGAGTAATTTATTGCACACAAAAAAAGAAAAGACTACTTTGAAAATTAAGTGCAGAATAGACGGTACATTCTGAGAAAGAGATTCCAGGGCAGGCTGCTCATAAGAGTGAGACACCATTAATTGTTACTGGAGAAACCCTCCTTCTGGGGGTTTTGCACGATTATTCATAAGAAGGTGGAAAGAAGTGTTAGTGTAAGCATGTTTTGAGTGGTCTTCTGGGTGCACATGTGCACTAACTGTACATATTTGTGCATACATTGCATGTCTCATTAGCATCTTAAGTCTCCACCTAGGAATGTGTTTTTACTATTAAAATGAGCAAAAGTTCAGTTTGAGGACAGATAAAATCAAAATGCACATGTTCTCTAGAAGTAAAAGTCCCTACTGAAGATAGCGGGTTTCAAACGACCCCAAGTGCTCCACATCTTAAATGTCGCTCCAACAAAGCTGGAACACTATCTGCTCCTGAGGGATCCGGTCCCATTTGTGTTTCTGAGACACTGGCAAGTCAGGAGTGACTTGAGATGAGACCGATGATTTCAAGTGTAAAATGCCTAAATAGTCAGCAGCTTCAGGTTTCATTTTGGAGCTTGTCCACTTAAATGGGTTGA
This sequence comes from Homo sapiens, assembly GCF_000001405.40. NCBI lineage: Eukaryota > Metazoa > Chordata > Mammalia > Primates > Hominidae > Homo > Homo sapiens. Next base: position 6,215,911 of record NC_000021.9, read on the forward strand.
TGAAAATGGCTCACAAGACTCATGCCTCGGAAATGGGGTTTTCTCCTTTGCTCTTAGCAGATTTTGTGCAACCCAATAATTAACCTTCCTGATGCCTCAACTTTCACATTCGTGAAAAAGGCGCCATTGACAGTGACATTTCCAGGAAGCCACAGACCTTGTCACCCCCTACAGAATTCTGAAGCTGTTCATAAGCAGGCCACGTGGAAGATTTCTCTCAAAAGCTGTTGAGCATGAGGCTTGGCTAGAGAAAAAAGAGGGCTGCGGCACAATGGACAGTGTCTCAGACATCAGGACAGTTTCCACAGCAGTTTAGGAAAGAAGGCAGCGCCCTGGGCTGCAGAAGGCGCAATGCTCTGGGAAGAACCCTGGGTGCAGCTGAAAGAGGAACTTGAGAAGGATAGGGCCAATCAGTTGAGGACAACCCGCCCGATTTGGGCAAAGGTAAGGTGCCTATGTAGGGTAATACCCTCCTCAATGCTCAGCGCAGACCTGTCCTCTAGGTCCACCTATGTACTCATTCTCCTTGGCAAAGAGTCGGCATAGCATAAGAACTCAGCAGTGCTTTGGACACCGGGAAGTCCACACCGCTCTGCCCCTCCCTCCAGGGCTATGCACCCCGGGTCCCGGTACATGCTGTGATTATAGTTCTGAAGCCTACCGACAAACAGGCTGAGAGCAGTTAACAGACTACAGCTCCCAGCATATTAGGTAGGGCGTGTACCACTCGGCCCCTTCTTCCAGGCCTGTACCTCGCCCCCGAGACTGGCACATGCTGGGATTGTAGTCCTGTAGCCCTTTGACCAAAGGGCTGGGAGTGTTTATAAGAATACATCTCCCAGCAAGCCGAGGGAGACGCACACAGCCCCGCCTCTTTCTCCACTGACGGGCCGTGTCCCTGACCCCAGTGCATAATGGGATGGTAGTCCTGCAGCCCTGTGACACAAGTTCTGGTAGTCTTTATGAAACTACATCTCCCAGCAAGCAGAAGGAGGCATCCACATCCTAGACTTTTCCTCCAGTAATGCGCACTCTCCCTGAGCCGGGTGCATGCTGGGATTGTAGTCCTGCAGCCCGGTGATGAGAGGTCTGGGAGTGTTTATGAGACTGCAACTCCCACCAAGCCCAGAGAGGCGTGCACAACCCTGCCTCTTCCTCCAGTGACGCGCACATTCCCTGCGCCCGGTCCATGCTAGGATTGTAGCGCTGCAGCCCAGTGACCAAAGGGCTGGGAGTGTTTATGAGACTGCATCTCCCAGCAAGACCAGCGAGGTGTGCAGAGCCTCGCCCCTTTCTCCACTGATTAGCGCACTCTCCCTGATCCCGATGTATGCTGGGATTGTAGTGATGCAGCCCAGTGACCAAAGGGCTGGGAGTGTTTACGAGAATACGTATCCCAAAAAGCATAGCGAGAACAGCACAGGTCCACCTCTTCCTACAGTGACGCGCGTTGTCCCTGAGCAGGATGCATGCTGGGATTGTAGTCCTGAAGCCCTGTGACCAAAGGGCTGGGAGAAATAAAGAGACAACATCTCCCAGAAAGCCCAGCAAGGCGCTCACACGCCTTTCTCTTCCTCCAGTGAGGCGGACTGCCCCGGCGCCCCGTGCATGCTGGAATTGTAGTCCTACAGCGATGTGATGAAAGGGCTGGTAGTGTTTATGAGACTACCTCTCCCAGCAAGCCCAGAGAGGTGCGCACAGACCTACCTCTTCCTCCAGTGACTAGTGCACTCTCCCTGAGCCAGAGATATGCTGAAATTGTACTGCTGCAGCCCTGCGACCAAACGACTGGGGTAGTTATGAGACTGCATCTCCCTGCAAGCCCAGCGAGGCACGCACAGCTCCACGTCTTCCTCCAGTGATACACACTGTCCATGAACCCGCTGCATGCTGGCATTGTAGTCCTGCAGCCCTGTGACCAAAGGGCCAAGAGACCACATCTCCCAGAAGACCTAGGGAGACGCACACAGCTCCGCATCTTTTCCCCGTGTCGCATACTGCTTTGATCCCGATGCATCCTGGGATTGTAGTCCTGTAGCCCTGTGACAAAAGGTCTGAGAGTCTTTATGAAACAACATCTCCCAGCAAACGCAGCGAGGTGCGCACAACCTGCCCCTCTTTCTGCAGTGATGTGGACTCTCCCTGAGCCCCGTGCATGCTGGGATTGTAGTCTTATAGCACTGTGACCATAGGGCAGGGAGAGGCCATGGGACTACATCTCCCAGGAAGCCCAGCAAGGCGCACACTGCCCTGCCTCTTTCTCCTTAGACTAGCGCACTGTCACTGAGCTGGGTGCATGCTAGGATTGTAGTCCTGCAGCCTTATGACCAAAGGGATGGGAGTGTTTATGAGAATACATCTCCCAGTACGCCCAGGAGGTGCACACAGCCCTGCCTCTTCCTGCAGTGATTAGCGCACTATCCCTGAGCTGGGTGCATGTTGGGATTGCAGTCCTGGATCTCTGTGACCAAAGGGCTGGGAGCGTTAATGAGACTACATCTCCCAAAAAATCACAGCTAGAAGCGCAAAGCCCTCCCTCTTCCTCCAGTGACGCGCGCTGTCCCTGAGCCCAGTGCATGCTGGGGCTGGAAGTGTAGTCCTTCAGGCCTGTGATGAAAGGGCTGGGAGGTTTTATGAGAATACAACTCCCAGCAAGCCTGGCGAGTAGCACACAACCCCGCCTCTTCCTCCACTGACGCACAATTTCCCTGAGCCCGGTGCTGGCTGGGATTGTAGTCTTCCGCCTCTTCCTCCAGTGACAGGCACTGTCTCTTAGCCAGGTGCATGCTGGGATTGTAGTCTTCCCGCCCTATGACCAAAGGGTTGGGTATGTTTATGAGAATACATATCCCACCAAGTCCAGCGAGGCGTGCACAATCCCGCCTCATTCTGCAGTTACGCGCACTATCCTTGATCTTGGTGCATACTGGGATTGTAGTCCTGCTGCCCTGTAATGAAAAGTCTGGGTGTCTTTATGAAACTACATCTCCCAGGAAGCCAAAGGAGGCGCGCAAAACTGTGTCTCTTCACCCAGGCACATGCACTATCCCTGATCCCGGTGCATGATGGGAATGTAGTCCTGCAGCCCTGTGACCAAAGGGCTGGGAGTGTTTATGAGACAGCATCTCTCAGCAAGCAAAGCAAGGCCTGCACAGCCCCGCCTTTTCCTCCAGTGAGGCGCACTGTTCATTAAGGAGTGTTCATGAGATTACATTTTCCATCAAGCCCAGCGAGTCACGCACAGCTCTACCTCTTCCTCTGCCGGCGCGCACTGTCTCTGATTCCGGTGTATGCTGGAATTGGGGTGCTGCAGCCCTGTGACCAAAGGGCTGGGAGTCTTTATAAGACTACATCTCCCAGCAAGCACAAGAGGTGCTCACAGCCGCACACCACCCTCCCCGCCCCACTCTTCTTTCAGTGACCGCGCACTGTCCCGTGAACCTGGTGCATGCTGGAATTCTCCCGTTGCGGGATTCAGGAGGATGAGAGAGACCCCGGGTTGAAACAGGAGAATTTTTATTGAGTGCACTCAGTGTCAGGCCTCTGAGCCTAAGCTAAGCCATCGTACCTTCTGTGACCTGCACGTACACATCCAGATGGCCGGTTCTTGTTTTAACTGATGACATTCCACCACAAAAGAAGTGAAAATGGCCTGTTCCTGCCTTAACTGATGACATTGTCTTGTGAAATTCCTTCTCCTGGCTCATCCTGGCTCAAAAGCTCCCCGACTGAGTACCTTGTGACCCCCCCACTCCTGCCCGCCAGAGAACAATCCCCCTTTTTCCTTTACCTACCCAAATCCTATAAAATGGCCCCATCCCTATCTACGTTTGCTGACTCTCTTTTCGGACTCAGCCTGCCTGCACCCAGGTGATTAAAAGCTTTTATTGCTTACACGAAGCCTGTTTGGTGGTCTCTTCACACGGACCCCCATGAAACTGAGGACAAGCTAACTCACATCAAAAAGACTGGGCCCGGAACAAAGACAGAACCTGACTTTTATGCACATTTCACAAAAGGTGGTGGGCTAGCTTGAAGCAAGTTTACAGTGGCGTGAAAGCAGGGATACAGAGGCAGGACAGACAGGATTGCACATGACCGTTGCCAAGCAACCCACATGTCCATTTTCTAGGTTTCCCTGGGCATGGGCTTATCCTATAACCCTCACTATGGTGCCCAAACAGCTGTAGTTCAGCCTACTCAGGCTTCTCATGACTTACATTGTACTTCTTAGATAAAACAGAATACTTGAAGTCACTAGTTACAGAGAACAAGAATCTATAAACTCATTCCGTAAAAAAAGGAAATTTGTTTTTCTTTTCCCGATGTTGGGGGAGCGTTGGGAGAGCCTCCAGAGCACATTAGATAATATTATCAAGACTATTCCTGGTTCTGGGCTGTGCCTGTTGAAGCCTCTGGGACAAGTCAGCCCAATACAAGAAAATTTATTTCTCTTTCTTTTTAATTTTATTTTTCTTTAATTTCCCTCCTCAGTCCCACAGCCCTGTGACCAAAAGACTGGGAGTGTATGTCAGGCCTCTGAGACCAAGCCAAGCCATCGCATCCCCCGTGACTTGCACGTATACGCCCAGATGGCCTGAAGTAACTGAAGAATCACAAAATAAGTGAATATGCCCTGCCCCACCTTAACTGATGACATTCCACCATAAAAGAAGTGTAAATGGCCGGTCCTTGCCTTAACTGATGACATTATCTTGTGAGAGTCCTTTTCCTGGCTCATCCTGGCTCAAAAAGCACCCCCACTGAGCATCTTGCGACCCCCACTCCTGCCCGCCAGAGAACAAACCCCCTTTGACTGTAATTTTCCTTTACCTACCCAAATCCTATAAAACGGCTCCACCCTTATCTCCCTTCGCTGACTCTCTTTTCGGACGCAGCCCGCGTGCACCCAGGTGAAATAAACAGCCATGTTGCTCACACACAGCCTGTTTGGTGGTCTCTTCACACGGACGCGCATGAAATGTACAGTTACGCTTCTGTTCACTTGTCATGAGACTGTTTTCTTTTACCCCCATGAACGTACTTACCATAGCTTCTTTCAAATCTTATCTACTGATTACAGCATCTTGCACATCTTGAGAATAGGTTCTATTGTCTGCTTTTTATCTTGTGAATCGATTACACTTTCATGCTTCTTCACACATCTCATGAATTTTTAAATTGTGTGATAGGAACTACAGGGACTCTGGATTCTGTTGTATTTCTTTGAAAATTATTATTTTAAGAGGGAGTTAATTTGAATAGATTCAAACCCCAATCCTTATCTCTTCCACAGTGGCATAGATAAAATCTTCATTCAGTCTTCTAAACAGTGTGCCTTTCTATATAGCAAAATATAGTATTTTATTAAGCTTTATTATTGTTATCTGTGAAATAGTTATTCAACGAACTAGTCTACTTCATTATTACTGGAAACCAGAACCTCAGTTGTGTTCACTTTCTGGATTTTATATAAGTGAAATTATATAATATGTATACTTTTACATCTACTTTCTTCTAGGCAACTTTATATTTATGATATTAATTCATGCTATTGCAGATAGCTATAGTTTGTTTATTTAAAAAATATTTTTTACATTTTGGCAAAGTATACATAAAATTAACCATCTTAACTATTTTAAGTGTTCAGCTCAGAGAAATTAACTACACTCACATTGTTTTGCAACTATTATTCCCATTCATAAGGATCTTTTTTCAACTTCCAAACCAAAATTCAATACACATTAAATAACAGCTCCCTGTTACTCCCCCTCCAGCTCCTAGGAACCACTCTTCTACGTGGGTTTCCAGAATTTAACTACTCTAAGTATCTCATAAGTGGAATGATACAGTATTTGTCCTTTTATGACTGGCTCATGTCACTTTGCACAATGTCCTTAAGGTTCATGCATGACGTACCATGTGTCAGAATTTCCTTATTTTTCATAACTGAATAATATCCCACTGTATGTATAAATCACATTTTATCTATTTATTCATTGATGATAATTCAAACAACACAGGTAATTCAAAAACCTTTTGAGTGATGTGAGTCATGCTGCTATGAGCTTAGGTGTACGTGTATTATTTTGTGTCTTCGCTTTCACATCTTTTGCAACATACCAAGATGTGAAATTGCTGGATCATACGGTGATTTTGAGTGTAAATTATTTCGTTACTATGGTGTTGTTTTATAGCAGCTGCAGCATTTTACATTTCCACCAAGTGTACAAGGGTTCTAACTGCTCCACTTCCTCACCAACACTTGTGATTTTCTGTTTTTTTTTTCTTTTTGTACTAGTTATGCTGATGTGCATTAAGTGATATGTCATTTGGGGTTAGATTTTCATTTTACTAATGAAAATGAAAAGGTTTTGTTGAGTACCTTTTCATGGGCTTATAAGCCACTTCACATAATTTTTAGAGAAATATCTGTTTAAGTATTTTGCCCATATTTTAAACAAGTAGTTTATTATTGCTGAATTGTTCTTTGTATATTCTGGATAGAGTCCTCTTTATCTATTTTTCTTTTGTTTCTTGCATTTTTGGTGTCCTGTTAAAAGAAATCACTGCGAAATCCAGCCTTATGACGTGTTTTACCTACATTTTATACTAAGAATTTTGTAGTTTTAGCTCTTACATTTAGGTCTTTGATCCAGTTAGTTAATTTTTTCTTATAGTAGAAGTTAAGGGCCCAGCTTCACTCTTTTACATGTGGGCACCCAATTTCCCCAGCACTAATTGTTGTAAAGGCAGTTCATTTCCCATAAAAATCATTTGACCTTATATATGAGGGTTTATTTATATGGGCCTTCTATATTACTCCATTAGTCTCTTTGTAGCATGCTATTTTGGAATTTTGTAGTAAGTCTTGAAATCATTAAGTGTGACTTGTCTAACTTTGGTATTTTTTTCAAAATTATTTTTGCAATTTAAAGATCTTTGAGATTCCCCATAAACTTAAAAATTGATTTTTTAATATCTACACAAGAGTAATTGGCATTTTACTTCTTCGTTACTTCCTAACTACTTTATTCTTTTGATACTATTGTAAATTGAATTGTTTTCAGAGTTTTCTTCTCAGATTATTCATGTTACTACATAAAATGCAGTTTGTTTTTGTATGTTGATTTTGTATGCTACTATTCAGCTGAATTTATTAGTTGTAATATTTTTTGGTGGAATCTTAAAGATTTTCTACATATAAGAATATATTTTCTGTACACATTTTGATGCAGTTTATTTCATTGTCTTTTTTAATTTCTCTGAATGAAACTTCTAATACAGTGTTGAATAAAAGTGGCTAGCAAGAGCAGATATTCACTCTGTCTTCGGAGCTTAGAGGAAACACTTTTGATCTTTTCCTCTGGAATATGTTGTTTGCTGTGGGTTTTTATATGTGAATTTTACAAAGCTGGTTTCCTTTTATTCCTAATTTATTGTTTTTATTATAAAATATTTTGAATTTTGTAAAATACGTTATCTGTATTAATGAGAGAATACTTTTTAAAAAGTTTGTCAATGTGGCATATGCATTGATTAATTTTCATATGCTTAAACTTTTGTTAAGAAAGGCTAGCTAAGTGAACCAGTGAGACTGGAAAAAGAATAAAGAAATCTATACTGGTTGTGATCAATTATTTGTAAACACCACTGCACTGAAACCACCCATATGCTAAAACTTCCTTTCATTCCAATAATAAACTCCCCTTGGTCATGGGTTGTAATCTTGCTAGTATGCTGCTGAATGTAGTTAGCTAGGATGTTGCTGACTAGTTTTGCATCCGTGTTCATAAGGGATATTAGTCTATGGGTTTTTGTAGTATCTTTGTCTGGCTTCGGTATGAGCTAATGGTGGCTTCATGGAATAAGTTTGGAACTGCTCTCTTCAGGCTTTTGGTAGACTTTGGAAAGGATTTTTGTTCTATAAATGCTTGATCTAAATCACTAGTGAAGCCAACAAAATAAGGGCTTTTCTTTATGAAGAGGCTTTTAATTACTGATTCCATTTCCTTAGTAGTTTTGTATCTATTCAGATTTTGTATTTCTTTGTAATCAAGTCTTGTATACCTAGGAATCTGCCCACTTTATCTACGTTTTCCAATTTATCATCCTATCATAGTTCACAGTACAGTTTTTTAAACATTTTAATTCTTTGAATTAGTAGTAATGTCCCACTTTCATTTCTCATTTTAGTATGTGAATATGCTGTTAATTTTTTGTGTGTGTAGCTGAAAGTTTGCCAATTGTTAATTTTTTGAAGAAGTGAGAATGAACTTTTGGTTTTTTGGAATTCTGTGGTTTGTATAATCTCCATTGCATTTATCTCTGCTAAAAGCTTTAATATTTTCTTCTTTCTCTTTGCTTTGCATCTAATTTGGTGTTATTTTTCTAATTTACTAGGTGATAAAGTTATTATTTATTTGAAATCTTTGTTCTTTTTAAATGCATTTTAGCTGCAAACTTTACATCTTAGCACTCTTTTTGCTGTTTCCCTTAACTTTTGATGTGTTTTGTTTTCATTTTTCTTCCTCTGTAAGTATGTTCCAACTTCCTCTGTGATTTCTTCCTTTACTTATTTGTTGTTTAAGGGTATGTTGTTTAATTTATACAGTTTTGTAAACTTTCTAACGTTTCTTCTGTTATTGATTTAATTTGAGATCTACTACACAGCCCATCGTGGGGAAATCCCCATGTGCATTTGAGAAGAGTGTGTAGTCTCTTTTGTTGGATGGAGTATATTGTATATATCTGTTAGATCAATTTGGTTCATTGAGTTATTCAAGAACTCTATTTCCTAATTTATCATCTATCTCATTTTTCTATTCATTACTCAGAGTGGAGTATTAACATCTTCAACTATTATTTTAGAACTGCCTTTTTGCCCCTTTAATTCTGTCAAGTTATGCTTTCTATATCTCAATGTTTTATTATTAGGTATGGGTTTAAACTATTTCTATCTTCCTGCCAAATGGACAATCTATGACTATATAATGTCTTATTGTCTCTTTTAAGTTTTTAAGTCTATTTTGTCTGCTATTAATATAGTCATTCCCAGTCTCTTTTTCATACTATTGGTATAAAATAATTATTTTCTTCCTTTTTTTTTATAACCCTCAAGTCCTGTGGAAGGCTAAGAGCAGCATTACTTAATTTAAAAAGCAGATAAATCTTAAATCCATAGTTTAATATTTCTAAAAGCATTTAAATGGAAATGAGCTACGCAGTCTACCAGGAACGAAGGATATCAGTTGGGTCTAAGAATAATCATGTCAAAAAGCTCTAGGAGGAAAAGCTGCTGGGAATTAAGACTGTGATAACGGTCTTTGGGATCAAGAAGGAAATGGGGAATTGGGGATGCTCAAGGTCAGGTACATGCTTAGCAAAAGACCCAGAAAACCCTAAGCTCTCACCTCTGCATTTTAAACTCTGCACAAGTAGAAAGTAGAGGCTCAAGGAGAGATGTAACTTTATGCTGATTGGTAAAGGCATGCTCCAACACACATACATAGATCTCAGGTGAAAAAATCAGATATTTATGTTTAGTGAGAGTTAAAAAATCTGGAGTCTTACTTTCCAATTAAGGTTTAGTGAAAATATTTGGGGAGATTTGCATTGATCAATTCATCCTGAGGTCAAGAAAATCTTGATTTTGGCATTTGGAGCCTCTAGTAAAGGACTAGCCTCCTCCCAGAGGTGTTCTTTGGGCTTTTGGACTCAGTGACACACTACTGGTTACACTGATTTGAAAGTCAGCTAAGAGCTTGCTGCAGAACTCCTGACAAACTCAGTTTCACCCATAGAGGGCTAGAGCATCCCCAGCTGGTTGAAATTTTATGCCTCCTTCTATCCTCTGAAGCAAAGATGCTGTCTCTGTGGGGCCCCCAATTTACTGAGTGTTTCCTATATGACTGGTCCTGGTTCATAGATGAGTCAGGGAAGGTGAAACCTCATGATGTCCACTGGGCTGCTGTGGCTGTTTAACCTGTGCCAGCCATACAGAACCTGACATGAGTGGTTGCTCCTCTCAAAGGTCAGAACTCAGGGTTTGGGATAATGGCACATATTCTATCTGTTTGGTTATCTACAATGGAAACTGTAGACTGTCTGAATATCTTTTGGGCTGCAAACTGGAGACAATCTCAGATGCTGATCTAACTGGATCACTCATCTAGAAGTCCATGGTAAGGGTTTGTTTTCTAGAGAGTGACAACAATCAAGCTGCAGATTGAACCTAAATCTGTGTCTAACGCAGAGTCTAATACTGCAAACCAGACTTGGGGTTGCTGGTGAAAGTTGACCTATTTGTCTCATGGTTGAAGAATTCCTAGACCATACCAAGCAGAGTAACCAGAAGTGGACTTTTGGCCCACTTCTTGAGATATCAGTCACCACTCTTGACATCTTCAGCATAACAGTATGCCGACACCATCCATACCATGTGTCCCGTGAAGCTAATCTGTGCCATCTTTTAGGCTTTTGAGACCAATTGAGCTCTGACTTCGCGGCATTTTTCACCACACGTACTAAAACAAGCCAACTCTATGATGTTCCCTCCTTTTCCACACATGCTGGTTAGATAATTTGTTGATTAGGTATGGTTTATTTTCTCTTCCTGATTGCCTCCAAGATAAGGATGAAATGTTTGGGGGATCTAGGAATCATCTAGGAATCTATTTCACAAACTTGGAATTTCGTGCTAATAATTCCTGGGTGAAATGTGACTTTCTTTCCCATAACTGCAATTCTAGGCAAGCCTGGCTTTTGTATCCTCTGAGTTGCATCTCAGCCTAGTAGCAGTTATGGGACTCCAACTTAGTTCCAGCTAAGTTTTATGTAAATATTCTTGTCTCTATTTTACCTGGCTCTAGTAGATAAAGTGTCTAGAAAAAAGTAGAGGGCGACTAGAATAAAGATGAGATTATAGGTACCGGAATGAGACACACTGATTCTGTGGAAGTAGTGGGAGAACAACCTGGAACCTGGGGTATGAACAACACAGACCTCGGAAGCTACGGGAAACGGTGGGACATTAACAACTTTTTTTCTTTCTGAACAACCCCTGGTGCAGCCCACAGAAAGGTCTGGAAATACTATTAGTTAGATCAGACGGTAAGGCAGAGGCTGTGGATTCATCTCCTTTTGGTCCCCACATTACTCTTAAGAATCCTTTGAGACTATTCTATCTCTCCGTGATGTAGGCATGGAACTCTAGTGGGCAGTGTGCACTCTCGGTGCCCATGGTTCCAGGCCACAGTTTTTCAGATGATGGACAACAATTGCTTTTTCCTGAAGAGACTTAGTACCCTGTGGCTGAGCTTAAGCGGGACTCTAGACAGCATTGATTGCATTTTCTTCTTCCTCTACGAACTGGGATTTCTCCTTCTGTTTTTCTACTGCCTAGAGGTGAATCTGTATTTGTCAATATTTAGGTAAATCAGAGACATAAATCAGGTAAGGAACCCTAGACACTGCTTCTAGGCTAGCTGGACTCTTGCCTATTTCCCTTCTCACTTTATGAGATCAATTATATTGGCACAGGTTGATACCCTTAGATAGTGTCTCTAAGGAGCAATTAGAGAAGCATACTTCTAGAGAAGCTGGTAGGACAGGGCAGGAGGGCCAATGAGGATCAAAGTTTCTGTCCAAATTTTTGAGCCTAGGTGTGTGTGGCCGACGAATCCAGGAAAGATCCCAGATCCCTGGAAGGGATTGTTAAGAGAGGATCCATTAGATTAGAATGCTAGGGTGGGTGTTCATCCGTCGCCTTCTGAGTGGGATTTTCAGGGTTAAGACTGAGGTAGGGCTGCAGAGAAATGCTATCCTGGGAAAGCCTCTGATCGAGTGCAACATAGGTGGCTCCAGCACAAGGAGAAGTCCTCTATTTGAGGAACATTATACTTGTGTGGATGTGTCTGTGCTCTTCCTCAGCAGAGCCCCACTGACTGAATGATTGTTTGAGAATTATGAGTAAAGAGCCCTATATTATTTTGAATTTAGTAAATATTGGAAGAGAAACAAACAATATTATCTACTTTCAAATTGAATAACAGCATGAGCAACTTTCAGGAAAATGTCACAGGAGGAAACTCCAGGGCCTTGCTCATCCCTGGAAACCTTGAAAATCCTGATGCAACCTGTAGGGTTAAACTTATCAATACTTAATTTTTTGCCATATAGATTTATCTTCATAAAAAATATTTTCATTGGACCTTCATTTTGATATATGCCATGAAGAATAAATCATTTATTTCCTTTGTGATAAGAACATCACATTTTTACACCTCATGTATAAATGATGCCATCACCCATGTAGTTTTTATTGCTATGGCCTGAATGTTTATGTCCCCTTTCAAATTCATGTGTATAATTTTAGGCGTGAGGCCTTTGGGAAAGTGGTGAAGCCAAGAGTTCTTCATCTTCATGAATGGAATCAGTGCTCTTTCAAAGGAAGTTGAAGGGAATGCCCTTGTCCCATGTGCGAGATGGTACCATCTATGGGGAATAGGGCTCTCACCATATACGAAATTTGCTGCTGCCTTGATCTTGCACTTTCCAGACTCCATAACTGTGAAAAATACATTTCTCTTATTTATCCTTTACCCAGTCTAAGGTATTTTGGTATAGCAGCCAAGATGCACTATGACACTTTCTTAGACACTTTGGTTTATTTCTGAATTTTTAGTTTCAGTGATCCATGAGTTTTTTAATCAATCAAGATTTTACACAGGGCTTGCCAGTGGTTTTTTTTTTTTTCAGAGTTTTCTTGTCTATTCTTGTTTGTGTTTTCATCTATATAACATTTTATAGTAACGTGTACTTGCAATATTTAATGGTATCAGTATAGGAACAAAATTGAATTTATAAATAACTATAAGGACAATTGATGTTGATAATATTGAGTTTTTCTGCCTAAGAATATGATACAAATTGTCTATTTGCTTATGTCTACATTCATATATTTCATAAACTTTCTATGTTTTTTCCATATTCCGTAGATATTTTTGTAATATTTATTCCTAGTTTATTCTGCTAAAAAGTAATTTGAGACACAATGAAATTGCAAAGTGTTTATTTGAGTAAGAGCAATTGATAAATTATAAAATATCAGACGGAAAGATATTGAGTGCTTCATTGACAGTGTAAGAAGCAAGTATTTATTTGAAAAATGTAGAAACAAAGAAATCATTTGGTGGTAGCACAACTTTTTTTATTGTTTTTTGTTTGTCTGTTTACCTTGTTGGACAGTTTCTATTTATATAAGGTTGTTGGCTACTTCTGACTGGTTGAGCTTCATTTCTCTTTTTTCAATATGCAGCTACAAGAAATAATTTAAGTTTTGTTTGTATTTGCAAATCAAGCGAGGTTGAGATCACTTATGAGACCTAACTAATTTTGTCTGCTCAGAGATTATTGAGACATGATCTCCATTTTAATTTCCTTTAACAAATTTTCTGTACTTTTACTTTCCATCCAAACAGTAACTTATAAATTATTATTGTTGTACATATGTAGGCCCATGTTGTGTATGCTTTGAAGACCTGTCCTGCATTCAAACTCATTTGTATTATGTTATTATTGAATTTGCCCCATTTATTGGAATTATAAACTGCAATCCCCCAACTACAAGAGGTATGAGCTCTGATGAGATAAGAGTAAAGATGAATCAGAAGTGAAAACAGTCCTCCAACCCACACATGCAGTAAAAACAAATTTCACATGAATACAATGAGTAATTATCTAAAATTTAAAGTACCCTGAAAACATTAATGTTTATCTCATTATTATGTAATATGGAAATTACAAGGCAAAAAAATCCAAAGACTTACTGTTTAAATATAATTGAAGTTTTTTATATGATGAAGTGCTCCATAATTTAAATGTAAAAAGCCAATAGGAAATATATGAAATAAAATAAAATTATACGTAAAAGTGACAATGCCTCTATTAGATTTAACAGTATCTTACAATAGAATAAGTTGAAACCTACAAAATGGAAGAAAGTTTAAAATTAGGCAGATATTATCAGCCTGGTGAAGAATAAATACATATGTCAATAAGCATTTAATGTATTTTGTCTTAGATTTTACATGAAATAATAAAAAGTAAGCAAACCAATAGCATGGTAGTTTCACCCTGATTGATTCAAACTGAAAAAATATTAACATTTCTCCATGAGAAGTTGGATTCATGGATTGGCCTCATGCTGCATTCAAGGCACTTTAGCCAGGATCCAACACTCATTGCCAAGAGTCAGCAGGCTAGAAGTTTGCTTTTAAGATGTTCCCCGGCCTGCGACCAAGACGCTTTTTCCTGACTACTTCTTCAACTCTGACATAGGTTTTGCTGATATAAACGCAAACCCGGCTCTATACCTACCAAGTATCTACTTGGCTAGAGCTGCAAATGGAGCATTTAGGCACTAGGCAAGAGCTCTTCCCACGTTTCCAAGCACACTTTCTAGAATTTCCCAAAACTACTGACATTGTCTTTCAGACCCCATCTCCCAAAGAGAATCAGAGAGATGGTCTGGAAGCCATTTAGAATCTCCAGCCTCCAACCTAGTAACAATGGACTTGGATACAAAGACGCAACCTACTGACCTCAAAGACACCAGCCCAGATTCTGGGCATTGAATTCCTGCCTCCCCATGAAAGATCTCAACTGAGTCACATCAAAGCCCACACTCTTCTTCAAGGTTCACCTTCCAGACACGCTCCAAAACAGTCCCTCAGAATTGTCTTGAGATGAAACAAAAGGTGATGAAGGTCCAGGTTTGGAATGCCTGCCTCATTCTTCACTCCTGAAAAGTCTACACCTGCTGGTTAGCACTCTCATATGTTAGGGAGCCCGGGCTCTGAGTGCATCCTTTAACAGGACCTCCTGGCCTTTTCCTACTTGGAGTAGAGTGCCCAAGAATAATAGGGAATACAAGGCCTCCACTCTCACATGGCTTGATTGACTGATGAACTGATGTCGGAGGAGGAAACATATGTAGGGAACAGCCTGGGTCTTGTGAATCCGTTTCCCAGCTATGATGCCTGTGCAAATGGAGGGAGAATCGTCAAGTATTATTGGGTGGTAGACAGACACTGCCTAATAAAATTAAGTAAATGTAAGGTGACTTGAAGGGGAATTTATCATATGTCATATACAAAATTTTAGTTGGTCAACTTTATTTAAAAACAGTCACAATTTGTAAGGGCATTCAAATATAATTTTAATAGGGAGCTATGAAAATTATCTGCACTTGCTATGTAAGTGATTGAGTTAGGGGTAACTATCTGAAGGTCATGAGCTTGATATCTGCTACTTAATTTCATAAGACATTTACTTGCAAATGGTTGCCATTTTTGCTCTCACTATATGAAAATTTTTTCTTGCAAAGAGCATTCCTATGAAAGAAAAACTAGAAATTTTGCCAATTTCGGCTATTAAAACGATAAAACTGGTTTGTTTGTTATTCTTAACCAAATGCTCTTACAGATGACACATAGTACCCATGCTTTGATTGTTTTTTGTTTTTCTTTTCACCTTAGGTCAATTGCCTTTCATTTTATTTATCAAACTGTATTTACTGTAGATAGACATTGCAGTTCTCATGTGCCCTATGGATTTGTACTTTCTTAGAAGTATGAAAAAATTCTCAGGCTGAGTATATTGGCTTATGCCTGTAATCCCAGCAATTTGGGAAGCCGAAGCAGGTGGATCACCTGAGGACAGGAGTTCAAGACTAGCATGGTCAACATGGTGAAACCCCATCTCTCTACTATTCACAGTTCACATTGTACCTTGCAATGAATATACATTTTATCCAAAAAGGCTAAAAAATAATGAAATTGGGGTGGAAATGGCTGGAAGTATAGGTGAAACAAAAATGACACATGACTAGTAGCTGTTAAATCTGGGTGACTGGTCTGTTATCCTTTTTTTGTATTATGTATACGTTTTTAATGTTCTGTAATAAAACACGTGTAGAAAATGACAAAGTTTATCTACACTTAGCTCTTAAGGTCTTGGTTACCTTTGGGAAGGAGAAAGTGTCAAGGGCATGAGCAAATCTGATTCTTACATACACAAGTGTATTTATTTAGTAATAATTCATCAAGCATTCCATAAATATTTTGTTCCTATATTGCTGTATGCATGTTATTCATCAATAAATATTTAAATAGTACATATTTGCATAACAATCCTAAATTAATATTTTAGAATAATAGTAATGTTTTGTTTTGTTTTAAAGTGGGGCGTGTTCACTCAGGACATCGTCAGGTGTATATTAATGTTCCAAGATATTTATTTACGTTTTAACTTTTGGAAGAGTCCCCTAGGTCTTTTAATTTTTACCTCAGTACAGTAAGTAGCATGGTTTTAACTTTTTGGATTGCAGCTTTGTTTTCAGAAAGGTTCTCCCCGAAGAATGATGCTCACCCCGGCCAGCGCACACAGCACAGTGACCCGTGCACAGGATGCACTGAGCACACACGGCACTGGGTGAACCATGAACAGAAGGACAAGCCAGCCTGGGTCTGCAAAATATACTTTGCAGGAAAAGCAGGTAAAATTGAAAGGTCACAATTCAGCAGCAAACGTTTTTACATTCATTTGAGAAATCATTTCTAACAAAAGCTGCTCGTTAAAGCCATGGTTTTCTGGCTTGCCTACACATTGTAATCACCTGCACAACTTTCAACCGTATTTTTTTCAGATCCAGCTCCAAGGATTCTGATTTAGTTGTGCGGTTACAACTTGGGTTTAAGGGATTTTGATAGTTTTCCTCCCCGCAGGTGACTCTCTTGCGCCAGGGGTAAGAAGCGCTGGATAGGGGTGAGGGGTGCTTTAGCTGTGAGAGATAGCCATGTACGCTTCAGGATTTGCCCCATCGCATATCTGGAGTTCGGGGTCTTAGAAAATATTCTTGCCCTGTTAAAAATTAAAGGATGGCTTCAATACAAATTTAGCTATTTGGCTACGTTGCAGAAAAAGAAAATGCCTTTCCAGAGATCAGTTTTTTGAGTCAGAGTTTTGTTCTGTCAGTGAGGCTGGAGTGCAGTGGTGTGATCATGGCTCACTGCAGCCTTGACCTCCCAGGCTCAGGTGATCCTCCAGCTCCAGCCTTCTGAGTAGCTGGGACTGAAGGCATACACCAGGCATGGCTAATTTTTCAATTTTGTTGTTGTTGTTGTTGAGATGGCTTTCTCTATGCTGCCTGGGCTAGTCTCAAACTCCTTGCCTCAAATGATCCTCCCACATCAGTCTCCCAAACAGTTCAACCTACACGAACAGGCAACCATGCCTGGTGTATTTATTAAAATGTAGCTACTAGAATATTTAAAATTCACATGTGCCTCACATATTATTTCTTAGAGAATTGCCTCATTTTTGAAATCTCAGGCTGCCTGCTCTAAAACCTGGATGTGCCAGGAAAGTAAAACATCTGAAATTTTAAAACAATTGTCATTATATTGCTTCCATGTATGAATAACACATATATATTTTTCATAAATACAAATAATCTTACACACAAATGAAAATGCAAGTATTTTACAGGCAGGGCCAGTGTCCAGTGCATGAAGGAAGCCCTGCCAGAAAAGGATCCAGGAAAAACTTATAATTCTTGCTTTATTCAATCCAGTGTCAAATCACATATGTCACTCATGGCCTGAGGGGGCTTGGTGGGGAATTGAACTATATCCAATCATGGGTGCTGGAGTGGAAATTATCTAATCAGGTGCACAGCTGGAGAAGAATGGGCAGCTTTTTGGATCTAGGGATGCCTTTGCCTGTCTCTCTACTCAGAGCTCAGGACACTAGAGCCACCTCAACGCAATTGCCTGTTTTTTAGTTGTTTTAATGCTCCAAAAGAGAATTAGTTTTCTCATGCATTTTCCAAATGTGTGGCAAGAAGAGCCTCAAATCTACCACCCTGTTACCCCAGCCTAACTCTGGCTTGCTGTCAGAGTTTAAATTTCCAGTTCTTTCCTGACACTTACCAACACTAACTAACCTTGTGTAACTCACAACATTATCAACTGTTCTTTATTGTACATTTTAGACACAGTATTTTAATTCTGCATTTTTTCAAAAAGCAGTGGATGACACTTAAAAAAATATTTTTCATTTGTAAACATTTTACAGGACATGAAAGCAGATAATAATCCCCTGACAATCCACAGTAAAAAAAAAGAAAAGAAAAGAAAAGAAAATATTTGTGCCCCTTTCTTTAATCTTCCCTTGGCACAGACACCCCATCAGAATGTTTTTGGGTTGAGGTTTCATTTCAGAAACCTCACAGGGCAATACATCCTCAGCCATCTTGTGTTATTTTCTTGGTTTTGGGTTTCAAAACTGTTTGAGAATCCCCAAGATACCAACACTGGCCATGACTCTTGAAGTGTCTAGTAAATAACATCCCTTGTGTCATCTCCTCTCAGGGAACAGCCCAAGGTATGGGAATGCAGCCTCTTTTTGGAGTGGTTGGATGCACTATACCTGGAAGGAATCTCCACGTATACATTTGCGCTAAAAGCAAACCCTTTAGGACATTAAGAATTTCTTACCCCAACGCTTAGTTTCCATTCCTTAGAGACACATTGCATGCCAGGCAACTGGATGCTGAATAGTGAGGAAAAAATGTCCTCAGATTGGTGAAGGGAGAGAAAATATTTCAAAGGACAAAGAAACCCAACCTAGTGAGGCAGTGCAAAAACCTGCAAAGTAAAATGCACCTCACAGACACAGTGGAGCAGAGCGTAGCAGCTCCTGGTAGGACGCTCATGACCCACATCACTGAACCAGATAGAAGCAGGGAAAATATCCCAAGTAATAGAACGGCTTGACTTGACCCTTGGGTCAGATATGTCTGTGTTTCAATCACCATTGTCACCTTCTAATTTTGTCACCTTGAAAATATGATTGTATTTATTTTAACTTCACTTTTTCATTAACTGTAAATTATGTTTTATCAGTAGAGCTTCAAAGGTATGAGAATATTTATAAAGCACATTAAGTTGGTGAATTTTGAATAAAATTAAGTAGTAATGTATTTCATTTGTTAAAAATTGTTACTTACCTATTTCCTCAGCAGAATGAGTGTAGCATGTCTCCCAGGTCTGTTTTTTATTTGTTTGAGAGGTGATTTCAAGCAGAATCTCACAGCTTACTGTTGGAAATGCTATCAGTTGTAAAGATAGGGAAAATCTCTCTTCCACTACGGTGGTAGGAAATGAATACATATCTGCAAGCACATGAGGTAGATTAATTGTCAAATTACATAAATTTATCACATAAGTTATTCTTTTTTTCAAAAGAGAGAACTTGTGAAAGTGAATAACTCTATTCCATATGCTGCCATCTGGGTGTTTGAGGGTAATGTTAAGTTTTAGGAGCTGGGACTTTGCACCTCCTGGAAGTGTTCACATATGATTAATTGTTTACTAAATGATTTGTTTTGAACATAATTAAATTACATGTTTATTTTCTGAAAGGGATAGATACTTTGGCTTTTCTTGATGAATTATAAGATATAAGCCCCTTATAATGTTTTTATTTTATTTTATTCTGTTATTTTTTAGATGTAGTTTCACTCTTCTTGCCCAGGCTGGAGTGCAATGGCAAGACATCTGCTCACTGTAACCTCCAACTCCTGGGTTCAAGCGATTCTCCTGCCTCGGCCTCCCGAGTAGCTGGGATTACAGGCATACAACACCACACCTGGATAATTTTGTATTTTTAGCAGAGACGGGGTTTCTTCATGTTGGTCAGGCTGGTCTCAAACTCCTGATCTCAGGTCATCTGCCCGCCTAGGCCTCCCAAAATGTAGGGATTACAGGCATGAGTCACCATGCCCGGCTGTAATTTCCTCTCTTTTATATCTTAGATTTGAATAATTTTTGCTGGATTCTTCAAACATGAAGTATTTTTTGAATTGAAAACTAACTGAATGACTAACTGGTAAATAGAAGTCTTAGACCATTGACTAAAAGCTAAGGCCCACCTTGACCCTGCAAAAGAGGACCACTGAAGGCCCAGTTGATTATTCCTGGGTGTCTGCCCTGCAGGTGTCCAAGCCTACTCACACCAACCATGGAAGGAGCCTTTGTCACTGCCAGAAGATATAGAGCCTTGGTAAGCTGGAAGTTCACAGGCAGATGCAGTTGAGGTTGAGATAGAAGAAATGTTGGGAGATTCTTTTTAGAATGGAATTGTTATTGTCCTCAGACTGTTTCTAGACTTGGTCTAAGAAGTTACCTAAGAAGTATTGCAACAAAGAAAAAGTACAAATGATTAGATCTTTGAGTATCTCTAAGGTTAGGTGGAAAAGGGCCTTATTTCATAGGGAGGAGAAAACAAGTTTACAAAGAAGGTTGGAAAGGAAGCACACGATGGAGGGTAGCAAAATGCGATCCCAGATAAGATAATGTTTCACCTTGAACTCAGCCTGTTCTTAGGAGGGGTATGTATAAATAAGGGTTGTAGGTTTGCTGAAGCTGTGGGTGAGTCAAAGTTCAGGGGCTGGTTGGAAGAAGAGAAACAAGCAAAGTTTCTTTAAGAGTATGTTATTTGGACCACTGAAGACTAAATTACTGAATGGTTGTTCATTTTTAAAAATGGGAATTTGCAATCTGTGTCCATTTTTGTGATAGGTTAAAAAAACAGCAGGGAGCATCCTCAAAGTCATCAGGGGAAGCACGTTTCTCTTCACTAAGCTGTTCTTTGAGAATGCAAAGAATGGGGGAATTTCTTTAAATATAGCTATTTCCAGGATTGCCTTCACCCACAACTGTTCCTTGCCCTAGACATCTCTTCCATTTGGCTGTTTCTGAGTTATATTTTTATAATAAAGTAGTAAATATAATTACAGTTATTTGTTGAGGTTTTCTTTTTAGTAATTCTATCAAATTATTTAACTTGAAAAGGGGTTTATGCTAGTCTCAGATTTATAGGAGGTAGCTCAGAAGTGTAGATGGGCTTCAGGGATGTGTAACTCTCCTCTACAGTGAGAGGGGTGATGTGGGACTGAGCCCTGAATTTCTGGGATCTGTGTGAACTCTAAGTTGTGTCAGAATTAAATTTTGGGGCAACAAATGGGTGTTGGAGAAGCAGTGGGTTTTCAGGGAACTTTACACATTTAGGATCAAAAGTGTTGTAAGGAGAAAGACAATGTGGGGGCCTCTGCTGGAGAGAGACTCCAGGTGTCTCGGGGAAGGTAGGCTCTGCTCTGCACACAGGCTGCTACACCATGCACTGCCCTGTGGTTCCAGGCATTCTCCCATGGTAAGAAGGACCGACGACTCTGAGGGAAGAAGTTCTGAGAACAGATGCCTTCTACCCTCCTGCCAACCTGAGGCCACCACAGGTTTTTCACCCACTGAACATACACACTGCATGTTGATGTGGCCAAGCCCCTCTCAGGACAAGGCTTTGGCATCAAGATTGTTGCCCATGCTACCTTTCCTCATAGACTTTCCCACCAAAAACCCACACATGTGCCTACAAGACCCCTGGCATACGTTCTACCTCAGACACCGAATCTGCAGGGGCAACCTGGTTTTTTCACCATCCCAGGTTTCTGTGCCACCTGATCATAATCTCGTCTTCCTGCATGGACACAGAAATAAGTCAGAGTAAAGTTTCACCTGGGTCAGTATCTGTAGCATGAACCAGTCCTTCCACCAACCCTGTACTGTCTCCCAACTGTGGGTTCTTAATAGCACCTTCCCCTCTTTTACCTTTTAGTTCACCTCAAACCTTTTATTTACGTGCACTTAGTGTGTCCAAGCCACCCCTCAGTTGCCTGAATCCAGCACCTACTAAAATTCAGATGTCCAGTAGTTCAAGACCATGGGCCTAGACCATGTTTTTGCAGAAGGAAATACATATTAGAAATGAGAGGCTCTATTCTCCCATTTGAAAATTAAAAAAGATATTTTTTCTTTTCCCTTTTCTTAAACAATGTAATTTAGAGAACTTTTTTTAGTAATTTTTTGAAATGGAATCTTACTCTTTTGCTTAGTCTGAAGTGCAATGGCATAATCATAGCTCACTATAACCTTAACTTCTTGGGTTTGAGCAGTCCTCCTGCCTCAACCTCTTAATTACCTAGGACTATAGGCATGCACCTCCAGGCCTAGCTAACTTTTTATTTATTTATTTATTTATTTATTTATTTATTTATTTATTTATTTTTTCAAGACAGTGTCTTGCTCTGTGGGCCAGGCTAGAGTGTAGTGGCATGATCTTAGCTCAATGCAACCTCCGCCTCCCAAGTTCAAGCAATTCTCTTGCTTCAACCTTTTGAGTAGCTGGCATTACAGGCGCACAGCACCATGCCTGGCTAATTTTTTATTGTTATTATTTTTAGGAGAGAAAGGGTTTCACCATTTTGGCCAGGCTGGTCTCGAACCCCTGACCTCATTATCCACCTGCCTCCGACTCCCAAAGTGCTGGTATTACAAGCGTGAACCACCATGTCCAGCCATATTTATTTTATTTATTTTTTTATGGTGACAGAATTTCACCATGTTGCCTGTACTGGACTCAAACATTTGGCTTCAAGAGATCCTCCTGCCTTGGCCTCCCCAAATGTTGGGATTACAGGCATGAACAGCCGTGCCTGGCCTGGAAAACTTTTATATGTATCTTTTTTTCTCTGCTTCTTTGAAATATAAGCAAATCATTTTAACAGCTAAATAAGCCTTTTGCCACTCTTCATGACACAGAATTGTCTTTGTCTAAGACCTGGAAACTATTGTTTTGTTTTTTAATTTGGCAAAGATTTATTGATTTTTTATTTTCAGTCTTTTGAAGTAGGCACAGCTCAGTACAGTGGCTCATGTTTTTAATCCCAGTGCTTTGGGAGGCTGAGATGAGAGAATTGCTTGGGCCCAGGAGTTTGAGACCAGCCTGGGCAGCCTAATGAGTCTCCTTCTTTATAAAAAATTAAAATCAACTAGCAGGGCATGGTGGCACAGGAGGCTGAGGTGAGAGAATCATTTGAGCCCAAGAGTTTGAAGCTGCAATGAGCCATGATCACAGCACTCTACCACAGTACTCCAGCTTGGGTAACAGACGGAGACCTGTCTCTAAATAAATAAGTAAATAAAAAAAAGTGTTTTTCCATACATAAAAATAAGTAAATAAACAGATAAATAAAATAGACATGGATTTGCTGAGAATAAAGCTAATTACAAGATAACAGAAAAGTGAGAACCAAAGATGGGGTTCACCCTAGCAAATGATTCCAGCCTATTAGAACACTCAGAATTTTCCCTGCAGCATGACCGACATGAAAGTAGAATGTCATCATGTCAGGCTGTACCAGCGTCGGGAGACTAAACACTGTGGGGAAGAACCTCCCTTATGGAATATTATCAACAGGTGAGAGCCCAGCTCCTGCCCTGATGGGCTACAGAAATGAGTTCCTGAGATAACACATTGCAGAAACATGCATAGAGTAGTTTAACCTTTTTTGTGTGTAACCCTTTCTCCATTTTCCTGCGAAATCCTCCCTAGTAATAGTGTTAGCTTTTAAGTTTTGAGGGTCCGATAGGACTGAAGCTGCATGCTGCAGGAGATACGTGGGGCCGGAAACTAACACAAACTGCAGCCACAGGCATAAATACTCATGGCCTAATGTAAAGTGAAAACTATACAAAATTCTTTACCGTTATTCGCACAAGTGTGTGAAGAGAGACTTTCCACATAACCAACTTGCCACTGAGACTAGTGAAGGCCAGATTCCACTGGAACAAGGCTATGAGTTACTCATGGGAAGGCCGTAGGACAAAGCCCAGAGATTTTTCATATTTGAGTCTGGGTCCTGTTTCTTTCCCTGTCTTCTCAGCTTTCTGTCTGTAGAGACCCCTATGTGGCTGCTCTCAGCACAGCCCAGTGCTGGCTGTGTTTGCTGGTTTAGTGCACCTGCTCTTTTTCCAAAAAGAGGGAGGAGTTGGCCACATTAAACTGAATGATGAAGCTCCTCATCAATCTGAATGCAGCTTTGTAAATGTGCCTAGAAACCACGCAAAGAAAAGTCTGTGTTCTTCCTTGCTTTGACCGTATGTGACACCTCCATTAGAAATTCTGCTTTTCTCTGCACTCCAGCCTGGGTAACAGAGTGAGACTTCATGATAAATAAAAAAGAAAGAGAGAGAGAAGGAAAGAAAGAAAGAGAGAGATGGAAAGAAAGAAAGAGAAAGAAAAAAAAAAGAAAGAAGAAAGAAAGAAAGAGAAAGAAAAGAAAAGAGAAAAGAAGAAAGGAAAAAAGAAAAGAAGAAAGGAAAAAAGAAAAAAGAAAATAAAAGAAATTCTTCTCTTCAGATTAGGCACATAAGGAGAATCTGTATAAATCTCCATGAAGGAAGGAAACCAGAGGACAAGTTAAAGTCTTGGAATTCACATCTGAGTACACAGACTCGTTCTCCAACCCTCTTCTTTTTATTCTGCCAGCTATGGCCTAGGTATGAACATGACAGGTACACAAGAGTTCCAACACCCGACAATCTACTTCAGTCCAAGAAGAGTGCCCTCCCTCTTGCTCCCCATCCAACTCATGGTACTAAGAAGTGGTGTGGGACTGCCCAGATGAGTTGACAAGAGAGGCTGGCGTGGAGGGGCCTGTCCTGGGCTGCCCTGTGTTATTTGTAGGTGCACCCGGCCAAAAGCCAGGGACATCAGTGATGAGGGCTCAGTTGACATCTGTGTTATCAGATAAGACTTTTACATTGAGCCTTTGTAAGGCTGAAACTCAGAAATTTCAGGGCACAATGAAAGAGCATCTCACTCTCTTGAGCAACTCTCACAAACAGAGGTGGATACAGAGCTGTCTCAAGAATGTGGATTCCTGGTTTCTTAACTGCTGTTGGGTTCTGACACCAAGAAAGTATGTTAAACTCTTCAAGGTTCCATCTACTGGGCCCCATGTTTCTGTAAGACATACCGAAAGGCCCCACTATGCTACTGATTGCTCAGTCTCCTCTTCCATGTCAACTCTTTATTTGTACACAATTATGCAAACACAACTTCCCCTTAATTCCCTGGAAAGACCTAAATGCAACCTGGGTTCCAGGATAGAAGAGACAGCTGGAACATAACCTTGTTTTTCTTACCATCTCTGGGACCCAGTAAAAGTCACTGTATTCAAGGCTTCCCCAGCCTCCTAACATGCACACTGGTGATGATGCTAACATCTACTTCCTAGGGAATGTATTAGGTGTATATAAGATAAGACATAAAAATAATGATGTAGTGTCACCTGTAGATAATGCATACACTTAGAGATGGAAGCATTAGGAGAATAGGTGGGAGGTAGCATGGGCCACAACTCAAACAGGCCTGGTGTCTGCCAGGGTGATCTTGGAAATATCACTTCTCCACTGGGCCTCATTTTCATTCTGCTCCAGTATGAAGTTGAAATTAAATGTAGATACTGTCCTCTGGCATTCATATAGTTTAGCTGTGCGTCCCCACCCAAAACTCATTGTGTATTATAACCCCTAGGTGTTAAGGGAAAACCTGAGGGGAGATGATTGGATTATGGGGACGGGTTCTCCTCATGCTGTTCTTGTGATAGTGAGTTCTCACGAGATCTGATAGTTTCATAAGCATCTGGTACATCCCATGCTCTCACTCACTTCACTTGTCAGCCACTGTAATTGGAAGGTTTCTGAGGTGCCCCCACAATTATGTGGAAATGTGAGTCAATTAAACTTCTTTACTTTATAAGTTACCCAGTCTCAGGTACTCCATCATTGCAGTATGAGAATGATCTAATACAGGAATTCAACTTTCTAGTGCTTTCTCTTTATATTTAGAATCATATCCATGTGCCTTATCACGTCTATGACAGAGGAAGTCTTCACAAAGTCTCCCAGTACTAGGTATTGAGTGACTCAGTTTTTTATTGAATAAAATGGAATACTTCCTGATGCCAGTACTATGGCCCTTCGGTTTTGAGGAAAATATCATCTTGTATGTTGGCTAACAAGGAGATAGGAGTTCAAATCAAATTTGTTTTGTCATACTGGCTTTAAGGCAGTGATTAGAAAAGGCCTAATAGGTGGGTTCTGTAGGGGATTGCTGGAAGGAAAGTAGGAATATGGAAAGTCATGAGACATATACAGTCATCTCTTCTTGTTTCCTCACAGGTCACATACAAATTCAGGGAGAGTTAGTATGAAGCACACAATGGAAATTTGGGCTCCAAAGTCTGCAAAGTGATGCTTCATGGACTTCAGTTGGCAATATTGGTTCCAACAATTTCAGCCAATGTTTAAAAAACTTATAGCAGTTAAATTTTTAGTGTTTCAACAAGCCGTTTCCTATCTTTCATTCTGAAGATCCATTTTTTAAGTCTTTTTTTTTAACAGTATAGGGGGTACAAATTCAGCTTCTCTCCAATGAAACACAGAAAAGGATATCACTTTTGTATTAGTTCAGGCTGCTATGCCAAAGAACCATAGATAGGCAGCATATAGACAACAGGACTTAATTTCTCATACCTCCAGAGGTTCAAATTTGAGATCAGGGTGTCAGCATGGTTGAGATCTGGTGATGACTGGCTTCTGAATTTCAGCCTGCACACTTCAGGTTTTACCCTCATTTTGCAGGAGGATGAGAGCCCTCTGCGGTTTCTTGTATAAAGCCAGTAATCTGTATTATGAGGGTCCCACCCTAAGGGTTTAATTACATTCTACCTCCTTATAGCATTACGCCCGGGGTTACAATTTTAACACAAATATAGAAGAAAAATTATAGTAACTCTCAAGTTTTTTTTCTTTCTTTCTTTCTTTCTTTTTTTTTTTTTTTTTTTTTTTTTTTGAGACACAGTTTCACTCTTGTATCCCAGGCTGGAGTGCAGTGGTGTGATCTCGGCTTATTGGAACCTTTGCCTCCCAGGTTCAATTGATTCTCCTGCCTCAGTCTCCCAAGTAGCTGGGATTACAGGCATGCGCCACCACATCTAGCTCATTTTGTATTTTTAGAAGAGACGGTGGTTTCACCATGTTGTCCAGGTTGGTTTCAAACCCTTGACCTCAGGCGATCCACACGTCTCAGCATCCCAAAGTGCTGGGATTACAGGTGTGAGCCACCGCACCCTGTCAAGATGTTTTTAAAGCTCTAATTTTTCTCCTACTGGGTTTTTCTCGTTTGCGCCCTCGATCTTTCTGTCTCTTTTTGTGTAAACCTTTTTGTCTAATTCTGTCTATTGTATTCCTCAAACACAGGAAGCAAGCTCCAATGCTATGAGATGCTCCATGTAGAGACCCACATAACAAAGGGTGAGAGGGTGCTCAGACGAGTAGAGAGAAGGAAAGTCAGGCTCTCCAGCCACACTAAACCCTGTCAATTTTCACATGAGTCAGCTTAAAGGCTCATGCTTTCCCAGTCCAGCTTCAGTTAAGACCACAGCCCCCAGTCTCATAAAAGACCTGAAGGCAGAGGTAGCCAGCTGAGCTGTGTCCAGATTCTGGTCCACACACATTATGAGATATTATATGTTGTTGAAAAGTGCTGACTTTTAGGGCAATGTTGTCAGAAAGGAGCAGATATCTAACCTCATCTCCCAGGCCCTAGGATTCTCCATCCCTCTGCTTATCTCTTTCTCAGGCTGTCTGCAGCCAAACTAGTCCCTTTTTACCTCTGCCAAACTCACACCTATGAGTTTTTTCACTAAGGGTGGCTTCTCCCTGACACATGCTTGTGCAGATGCCTCCCTGCTGTCATCCTCATCATGGATTAAAAGTCACCTCAGTGAGGCCTGAGGTCCTCCCATGCAATAATTTTCCAGGTTTTCTTCTCAATAATCTACTTTATATTATAGTCCTTGCTCTTTTCTTTCACATATACTTGCTTTAGTGCTTTTGTCCAGCGGTCCTCAGATTGTTTGGTCCTGGGTTGGGGGGTGCAGACATGAAGTAATAATTTTCTGTACCACATGTTGGACCCACCAGGGTCGCTGGCAAATGGTGAGCGCAAGGGAAAAAAGACTGGCTAAGTGATTATATGGGGGATCCCTAATATCCCTTCCCCTTTTGACCACCTGATAATGTGGACATCACTGATAACAACATGAGGTGTGTGACTGTTACTTGTTCCAGCTGCTCCAGCAAAGCTCAGTGGGCACCAGAAACACAGTAGGCTGTAACCACCTCCTGGCCATCACTAACCCTACAGCCCCAAGCAGGAGCACTACTGAACAAATCTGATACCTTGATTTTTCTGTCCTCAAGACACTGGTTCTTCAAGGTCCTAGGGGATAAAGTAGCAGGATCTGAAGGCCCCAAGTATAATGAGTGAACTAGGAATCCCGTTTTGCCCTCTCTTTGCCTCCACCTTTTTGGTTGTGCTATTTACTCATGAGGTATCCTCCCCTTATCCAGTGAAATTATTTTCTACCACTTTCAAATGAGGACCTTAAGAACGCAACAGTAGCTGAGATTTTCCGTGGACCTCAGCCTCAGAGTCCAGTGCTCTGGCACATTTAACTCTGTCTCATCTTCATCTACCCAAGATGCCTCTCAAGTGGCCATGCCTCCCTCTGATTTGAAGGATCTGCAGAGTGGGTGCATTTTTGCAGTCTCAGAGCAAGAATCCAGGCTGGCAGACACTTATGAGTATGTGAAATCATCAAGGTCACCCACTTCAGGCACCCCTATTTATGAGGAAGAAAACAAGCTTTCCTGTAGGCACTGTCTACATTAGGCTGAGGTGGAGCATAGCTCATTTTACTTCCAGTTGCCCTCAGAGCTGGATGCAGAACCCCAGTCCTGTTATCTTGAAACTGACATGGAGAGGACCCCATGTGAACAGAACCCTGAATCTGCTCATTTTCTGTGCTCCTGAATGTGTAGCTACAGACTCTAATTTCGAAAACAAACCTGATAAGTGGGACGGTGCCAAGGCCTAGGAAGCTGGAGCCCTCTCTAATGCTCTGGAGCCTGCCCACCTCCTGAGATCTGGACCAGTCTCTGCCTCTTCTGGGGCCTCAGTTTCCCAATTGTAATGTAATGAGAAATTAAATGTAAAACTGCATAAACATATGCTCTGTGAGAATTTGGTGTCAGAGTTCTCAATACTGGATGATAATTTGGAGTGGGGTGGGTTTGGGACCCATGGGTTCTCAGGCCTCCTTTCACACCCAGTGCAGTAGGTGTAGAGCTCTGGACAGCCAGGTGTTCTTTCCTGAGCCAGCTGATTACAACACAATGGACCAAGGGCTCTGATCTTAAATATGGTTTCACAGGATACCCCACCTTCAGCCACCACCTGCTCTGTGCTTCCCATATTTTGGGGAGCTGATGACAAACCCCATTATAGTGAAGAAGAACAAGAAACTAGACTTGTGGGCCTGGGGAAAAGAAAAAAACACTTCTATTTCTCCCAAACTGTAGAATCTCTTGTCAAATATTTAATTTTGATTATATCTGAGCTTGATAATACATTCATGTGTTAACAGCTGCTTAAATTTATTTTTTCTGTGAAGTGTGGGATAATGTCTTTGCCGTATTTTAAATCAAATTCTAAAAGCTCTCTTTAGAGTGGATAAGTGAGCATCTTTGTAATATAAACTTCACATATTTGTTGCCAGTTTGTTCTTTTTGTTTTTGTTAAAATGTTTTGTTTTATTCTGATTTGGATGTCTTTTGGCGTTTTGCTTTGTGGCTATTTATTATGACAGTGTAACTTCTCCTCTAATTGACTGACGGTTTGTACATTCTCAATAAAATATTTTCATAAAATCTTTGTAAAAATTGTGTAGTCAATTTTACATTACATAAACATAAAACAGTAAAGACTATCACGATGAAAAAGGAAGATTGAGGGCTTAAAAAGTAAAATACGACACAGCTAAAGTAGTCTGAAAGGGAAATTTACAGCACTAAATCCCCACAAGAGAAAGCAGAAAAATGTCTAAAATCGACACCGTAACATCACAATTAAAAAAACTAGGGAAGCAAGAGCAAACAAATTCAAAAACTAGCAGAAGACAAGATTTAAGATCAGAGCAGAACTGAAGGAGATAGAGACACAAAAAGCCCGTCCAAAAAATCAATGAATCCAGGAGCTGGTTTTTTTAAAAGATCAAGAAAATAAATAAACTTCTAGCCAGACTAATAAGGAAGAAAAGAATCAAATACATGCAATAGGAAATGATAAAGGGGATATAACCGTTGATCCCACAGAAATAAAAAGTATCATTACAGAATATTATAAATACCTCTTTGCAAATTAACTAGAAAATCTAGATGAAATGGATAAATTCCTGGACACATATACCCTCCCAAGTGCAAACCAGTAGGAAGTCGAATCCTTGAATAGGCCAATAACAAGTTCTAAAATTGAGGCAGTAATTAGTAGCCTACCAACAAAAAGAAGTCCAGGACCAGACGGATTCACAGCCGAATTCTACCAAAGGTACAAAGAGGAGCTGGTACCATTCCTTCTGAAATTATTTCAAACAATAGAAAAAGAGGTACTCCTCCCTAATTCATTTTATGTGGCCAGCATCATCCTGAAACCAAAACCTGGCAAAGACACACCAGAAAAAGAAAATTTCAGGCCCATATCCCTGATGAATATCGATGCGAAAATCCTCAATAAAATACTGGCAAACCGAATCCAGCAGCACATCAAAAAGCTTATCCACCACGATCTAGTCAGCTTAATCCCTGGGATACAAAGCTGGTTCAACATATGCAAATCAATAAATAAAATCCATCACATAAACAGAACTAATGACAAAAACCACATGATTATCTCAATAGATGCAAAAAAGGCCTTCAATAAAATTCCACACCTCTTCATGGTAAAAACTCTCAATGAATTATGTATTGATGGAACCTATCTCAACATAATAAGAGTTATTTATGACAAATGCACAGCTAATATCATACTGAATGGGCAAAAACTGGAAGCATTCCCTTTGAAAACCTGCACAAGACAAGAACACCCTTTCTCCCCACTCCTATTCATTATAGTATTGGAAGTTCTGGCAATCAGCAAAAGAAAGAAAGAAATAAAGCGTATTCAGATAGGAAGAGAAGAAGTCAAATTGTCTTTGTTTGCAGATGACATGATTGTATATCTAGAAAACCCTACCATCTCAGCCCAAAATTTCCTTAAACTGATAAGCAACTTCAGCAAAGTCTCAGGATACAAAATCAATGTTCAAAAATCACAAGCATTCCTATACGCAATAATAGGCAAACAGAGAGCCAAATCATGTGTTAACTCTCATTCACAATTGCTACAAAGGGAATAAAATACCTAGGAATCCAACTTAAAAATGATGTAAAGGACCACTTCAAGGAGAACTACAAACCACTGCTCAAGGAAATGAAAGAGGACACAAACAAACGAAAACAATCCATGCTCATGGATAGGAAGAATCAATATTATGAAAATGGCCATATTGCCCAAAGTAATTTATAAATTCATTGCTATCCCCATCAAGCTCCCATTGACTTTCTTCACAGAATTAGAAAAAAAACTACTTCAAATTTCATATGGAATCAAAAAAGGTCTTGCATAGACAAGACAATACTAAGCAAAAAGAACAAAGGTGGAGGCATCATGCTAGCTGTCTTCAAACTATACTAAAAGGCCACAGTAACCAAGACAGGATGGTACTCGTACCAAAACAGATATATTGACAAATGGAACAGAACAGAGGCCTCAGAAATAACACTCAACATCTAGAATCATCTGATCTTTGATGAACCTGACAAAAACAAGTAATGGGGAAAGGATTCCCTATTTAATAAATGGTGTTGGAAAACTAGCTAGCCATATGCAAAAAACTGAAACTGGACTTCTTCCTTACTCGTTATACAAAACATAACTGAAGATGGATTAAAGACTTAAACATAAGACTTAAAACCATAAAAACCCCAGAAGAAAACCAAGGCAGTACCATTCAGGACATAGGCATGGGCAAAGACTTCATGACTACAACACCAAAAACAATGGCAACAAAAGCCAAAATTGACAAACGAGATATAATTAAACTAAAGAGCTTCTGCACAACAAAAAAAACTATATCAGAGTGAACAGGCAACCTAAAGAATGGGAGAAAATTTCTGCAATCTATCCGTCTGACAATGGGCTGATATGTAGAATCTACAAAGAACTTAAACAAATTTACAAGAAAAAAAGAAACAACAACATCGAAAATGGGCAAAGGATTTGAACAGACACTTCTCAAAAGGAGACATTTATGCAGCCAATAAACAAATGAAGAAAAGGACATCATCACTGGTTATTAGACACATGCAAATCAAAAACACAATGAGAAACCATCCCACACCTGTTAGAATGGTGATCATTAAAAAAATCAGGAAACAACAAAGGATGTGGAAAAATAGGAAGACTTATACACTGTTGGTGAGAGTGTAAATTAGTTCAACCAGTGTGGAAGACAGTGTGGTGATTCCTCAAGGATCCACAATGAGAAATACCATTTGACCCAGCAATCACATTACTGGGTATATACCCAAAGGATTATAAATTATTCTATTATAAAGATACATGCATACGTATGTTTATTATGGCACTGTTCACAAGAGCAAAAACTTTGAAACAAACCAAATGACCATCAATGATAGACTGAATAAAGAAAACTTGGCATGTCCACATCATGGAATACGATGCAGTCATAAAAAGGATGAGTTCATGTCCTTTGCAGGGACATGGATGAAGCTGGAAACCACCATTCTCAGCAAACTAACACAAGAGTAGAAAAGCTAACATCGCATGTTCTCACTCATAATAGGGAGTTAAACAAAGAGAACACACGGACACAGGAAGGGGAACATCACACACTGGAGCCTGTCGGGAAGTGGGGGACTATGGGAGGGATAGCATTAGAAGAAATATTCCTGGCCTAGGCCACTATTGCGATTTTCTAAATTTTGTTTCAAAAACATGATATGTTTCAAAAATTGTTATTGGTATGTAATTATATAAATATATAGTTCAGAAAAAAGAATCAACATTAATTATGCTTTTTCCAAAATACTTTATGGTTTTGAGCTCTTCTAGCAGTGACATTTTTGCTGTAGGTAATTGCTGTGTATCTGGTATATTCATCATAGCATACTTTGTGCCGTTTACACTTATCCTTCAATTTCCCACTCTCCTAAGTGTAAAAGTTCAAGGCCAGAGCTCCCATATCTTCCCAATATTACTTTTTGAAAAGAAGCTTCTATGTACTGTTTTCTCTGGGTCTTGATTGGATATATTGCTAAAAGAGCTGAAAAATAATAATTTTTTTAAAAATTCGGTGATGAGATTAAAGTAAATATATTTTATAAATCTAATGTACAAAATGAGGTCAGCTGAGAAGACAATGACAGTTGAAGCAGAACCTGAGATCCTGTTTCTCTCCATTGACATATGAACTTAACTACAATTGGGCGAACAAAGCCAGTTGAGTTTGTAGCACCCCACATGAGAAAAAAGCCAACCATAACCACATTTAGAAGAAAATTTGGTCACATTTGTGCACTACAGAACAGCGCAGTTAGATAAAAATCTGTCCATTCCATGATTCTCCTTTGGGAAAGAAAAAAGAGTGAAATGCGTATGCAAACTTCTGACTTACTGAGTTATACCGGGGTTATCTAAAGACTGGAAATTGCTTCCTTTAACATTTAGTGTTGATGAGAATAGAGACTGAGTTTAAATGACAGCTTGGGTCAACTGAGAATAAAGATAAATGCTTCTTACAACAACAGAGACTGTAGTGCCTACAACAGTGACGAAGGGAAGAGACTAAAGGCTCCTAAGAGGAAACAGAGGTAAACCTTATTAACAAGAAAATACATACAGTAGTCCAAAGAAGACACATTTTGACAACAGATTGGAGAAGCTCCCAGTATGACTACTGTGGCTGAATGTTGTCAATTTTCCCATGTATAAAGCTCTTTCATAAAGGATAAAATAGGTAGTGGTTTCTTAATTGATCAAAACCTTAACAAAACTACAGTAAGTAAAAGCAACCAGGAAATATAACCTAATCAAAGGAGAAAAATATATATTCAAGTGAACCTAAAGAAGTGGAGATCTAGGAATTATTTTTTTAACTTAAAATCTTTTTATTTTTCTTTACTTTTTCATTTTATGCAGAGGATCTTACTTTATCTCCTGGGACAGAGTACACTGGTGGAATCACAGCTCACTGTAACCTCAAATTTCGGAAGTCAAGCAGTCATGCCACCTATGTCTCCTGAGTAAATATGACCACAGTTGTGCACATTACCCCTCCTGTATAGTTTCTTTAAAAAAATTTGTACAAACAGTATGTTGCTGTGTTGCCTCGGCTGGTCTCAAACTCCTGGTCTCAGGCAATCCGACTGCTTCAGTCTGAAAGTGCTGGCACAAGCTACCATACCTGGAATTGTTTCTCTTTTAAGAAAAAATAGCTTTAAATCATTAATAGTAAAATAAAACAAAGAAAGGTATTGCGTAACGATAAAGGGTTCAATTCAACAAGAAGACTTAACTATCGTAAATGTAGATGCACCCAACTTTGGGGAACATAGAGTTATACAACAATTACTGCTAGAACTACAATAAGCCTCAAGTAGACACACAATAATAGTAGGGGAATGCAACTCCCCACTAAGTGTTTGACAGATTATCTAGGCAGAAACTTAACAAAGAAATTCTGGAGTTTGATTCGACACTTGATCAATTGAAACTAATAGACATTTATAGTATATGCAACACATCATCTAAAGAAAGTAAATTCTTCTCATCTGCTCACAGAATATGACAGGCCACAATGGAACAAAGATAAAAATCAATACCAAGAAAATCTCACAAAATCACAGAATGATATTGAAATTAAACAACTTGCTCCTGAATGAATTTTGGATAAACAAAAAAATTAAGGCAGAAAATTAAAAAGATTTTGAAATAGAAGAGACACAATATAACAAAATGTCTGGGTTGTAGGAAGAGCTCTGTTAAGAGGAAAGTTGAGAGTGCTAAATACCTGCATCAAGAAGTTAGAATGATCTCAAACTAACAATTTAACATCACACTTAGAGAAACTAGAAAAATAAAAACTAACTTACCCCAAAGCTAGCAGAATGGCAAAAATATTCATAACCTATGAACCTGACAAAATCTAATACTCAGAATCTATAAGAAACTTAAAGAATTCACAAGGAAAAAATTACCCCATGAAAAAGTGGGCAATAACAGACACTCTTCAAAAGAACACATACAAGTGGCCAAATAACATGAAAAAAGCTTATCATCACTAACCATCAAGGAAATGTAAATAAAAACCACAATAAGACACCATTGTACACCAGTTAGAATGGTTTTTGTTAAAAAGTAAAATGATAATAGATGTTGATGGGGTTTTAGAGGGAAAAAACCACTTATACACTGTTAATAGGAATGTAAATTAGTTCAGCCACTGTGGAGAACAGCTTGGAGATTTTCCAAATAACTGAGAGTTAAACTGTGATTCAACCCAGCAATTTCACCGCTGGGTATATACCCAAAAGAGAATAAACTATTCTACCAAAATAGCACATGCACTTGTTGGTTCATCACTACACTATTCATAAGAGGAAGGACCTGAATCAACCTACGTGCCTATTCATGGTAATTTTTTATTTTTTTGAGATGACGTCTCACTCTGTTGCCCAGGCTGGAGTGCAGTGGCACGATCTCAGCTCACTACAATCTCCACCTCCCAGGTTCAAGCAATTCTCCTTCCTCAGCCACCCGAGTAGCTGGGACTATAGGCGCATGCCACCAAGCCTGGCTAACTTTTGTATTTCCAGTACATACGGGGTTTCATTACGTTGTCCAGGATGGTCTCGATCTCCTGACCTCATGATCCACCCGCCTTGGCCTCCCACAGCACTGGGATTACAGGCATCAGCCACCATGTCCAGCCTATTGATGGTAAATTGAATTTAAAAAGTGTCACATGTACAGCAATACTACTTAGCAAAAACAAACAAAAAAAACCTCCTTTGCAGCAACGTTAACACAACTAAAGGCCATTATACAAAGCAAATTAATGCAGAAATGGAAAATGAAAATACTGCATATTCTCACTTATAAATGGAAATTAACACTGGGTACACATGGACAGAAAAACAAAAATAATAGACAACTCTTAGAGGGTGGAGAGAGGGAGGGACCAAGAACTGAAAAACTGTCTACTTAGTACTATGCTCACTACCTGATTGATGGAATTACTCATACTTCAAACCTCAGCATTATACAAAATACCCATGTAAAAAACCTGTGTAGGTACCTCCTAAATCTAAAATAAATTTGAAATTCTAAAAAGAGGTCTTACTCTCTCACCCAGACAGGAATACAATACGATGATTATAGCTCAATGCAGCCTCAAGTTCCTGGGGAACTCAAGGAATAATCTTACGTCAGCCTCCAACTTCCTGAGACTACAGGAACATTCCACAATGCCTGAGTAATCTGTGAAAATATTTTTTACCAATAGCTTGTCACAATATTGCCCGGGGTAGTGTCGAACTCCTGGATTTAAGTAATTGACAGGGTTTGGCTCTGTGTCCCCAATCAAATCTCATCTTAAATTGTAATAATCCCCACATGTCCTGGGAGGGACCCTGTGGGAGGTAATATTTTTATCAAAATATCAATGACATTTTTTCACAGAAATAGAAAAAATATTTTAAATTTATGTGGATCCACAAAAAACTCTGAATAGACAAATAACTTTGAGCAAAATAAGCAAAGCTAAAGGCATCACTTTATCAAACTTCAAAACTTGCTACAAAGCTATAGTAACCAAAAGAGCACTGTACTGGCATAAAAACAAACACATAGACTAATGTGCCCAAGAAGCCCAGAAGTTAGTTTATGCACCTAAAGCCAACTGATTGTCAACAAAATTGCCAAGAACACACTTTAGGGAAAAGCTAATTTCTTCAATAAATGATGCAGGGCCATTTAAATATTTAAATTCAGAAAAATTATACTAGACCCCTGTGCCTTGCCATATATGAAAATCAATTCAAACTAAAGACTTAAATGTAATGCTATCAATTATGAAACTATTAGAGAAAAACTAAAAAATGCTTTATAACATTCGACGGGGAAAGGATTATTAAAATAACATGTCAAAACATAGGCAACAAAATCAAAAATAAGCAAACAACATTATGTCAAACTAAAATGCTTTTCCATATTAAAAAAACTAAAAGATTGAAGAGACAGCTTAGGCAATAAAAGAAAATGCTTTCAGGCTATACATATGACAAAAGGCTAATATTCAGAATAAATAAGAAACTTTAAAATCTCAAAATAAAATACACTTATAATCTAATTAAAAAAATGCAAAAGATCTTAATAGATGTTTGTCAAAAAGTGATACAAAAATGGCTAACTGGAACATAAAAATATGTTCTACATTACTAATCACTAAGGAAATGAAAATCCAAACCACAATGAGGTACCGCCTCACTCCCATTTAGAATGGCTATAATAAAAATAAATAAATAAATAAAACAAGTACTAATGAGGATATAAAATGAGTGAATGTATACATTGTTGGTGGAATTGTAAATTAGTATGGCCACTATAGAAAATACTATGGAGGTTTCTGAAAGAAATTAAAAATAGATGTATTACATGATCCAGCAATTTTACTCCTGCATGTATATACAAAAGAAAGGATATCACTGTGTCAAAAAGATATTTGCATTTCCATGTTAGTTACAGAACTAGTTATAATAGCTTATATATGGAATCAATTCAAATGTACAGCAACAGATAAATGGATAAGGAAAATGTACTATATATGCACAGTGAAATACTATTCAGCTATAAGAAAGGATAAAATTCTGTCAGTTAAAAGAGCATGGATGAACCTTGAGCATACCATGTTAAGTAAAATAAGCCACATAGAGAAACACAAATACTTTATGATCTTATTATCTCACTCATTTGAGGAACCTGAAAAAAAGGGTTGATATAAGCAAAGAGTACAACAGGGGTTCCCAGAGACTGAAGCAGGGAGATGGGAAAAGGCAGCTTCAAAAGTATTGTGTTACAATTAGATAGGAGAAATAAGTTTTTGTTTTTTGTTACACAGCAGAATAATAATAATTAATGAAAAGTTATCTCAAATTACAAAATAGCTAAAAGAGACCAGTTGTGGTGGCACATTCCTGCCATCCATACATTTTGGGAGAATGAGGTAGGAGAATCACTTGATGTCAGAAGTTCAAGATGAGCCTGGACAACATAGTGTGACCCTGTCTCTATGAAAAATTAAAACATTATCCAGGCATGGAGGCAGGTTCCTGTAGTCTCAGCTAATTGGGAAGCTGAGGTTAGAAGATTGTTTGAGGTTACAGTGAGCTAGGATTGCACCACTGCACTCCAATCTGTGTGTTAGAGCAAGATCCTGTCTCTAAAAAAAGTTAATATATAAAGATATAAAAAAATAGCTAGAGAAGAAGCTTTTGAATGTTCTCACCACAAAAATAACAAATGTATGAGGCAATAATTACACTAAGTACTCTGATTTTTATTGCTATACAACATATATACATAATTGTTTCCCCAAAATTTGTACAATTACATGTGTCAATTTTAAAATATGAAGACTATAATGTAAAATCTATAGCTGTAAAATTCCTAGCACAATACAGAAGGGTGAAGCTTCATGACAATTGGTCTCGGCAATAATTTGGGGGATGTAACATCAACGAATCAGACAACAAAAGCAAGGGAATACACATGGTACTAAATCAGTGTGTGAAAAATATCCCAAACAGGCAAAGCAGAACATGGAATAGATATATGCACATTTATGTACACTGTAGCATTACTCACAAACATACTACCTGGAAGCAAATGTACCTTTAAGGATGAGTAGATTCAACAAACAGGGCACGTATATTCACTGGATAGCATTCAGCCTTAAAAATAAGGAAATCTTGAAAAGTACTACAATAAGGACAAATCTCGAAAACATTCTGTTAAGTAAAACAAGACAGTCAAAAAGGAAAACTGTATAATTACACCTATGTAAAATATTTAGTCAAACTCAAAGAAACCAAGTGTTGTAGTCTCAGCAGTGCACCAAGATGTAACAGTCTCTCATAGTCTGAGATAGCATCGAAAGTTCTTTGTTCTACTTCTAGGGAGATTAAGGAGCGTGAACACAAAGGTGAGGTTAGAGTGAAAGTTTGATAAGCAAGAGAAGAAAGCTCTTTGCCAGCAGAGATAGTTTCTGAATGGGGTGACCTCTGTGAGGCTGGGGCCCAAGGTTTTTATGGACTGGGAAAGGAAGAGAAGGAAATGTGCCTAGTTAACAGGCTGTCTTGAAAAAAGTGTGGCTCAGCTTGGCCCAGGACTTTGACCCGGGACCAATCAGGAGCTGAAGGGATGATTCATAGATGCTATTTAGATTGGCCCAGGACTTATCAGAAGCTAAAGTGAAAGCTTGGCGCAGGAGCTTGTCCCGGGAGCAATCAGGGGCTGAAGTAATTATTCACAGAGGTCTGACTTACAGTCCAAATAAAGGAGAGTGTCGACCGGAATGCACCAGAGCCCACTGTGCTTATGCCCACAAAAGGAGAAGAAACATTTTCCTGGGAGCCCACTGACTGCACAAAGTACAAAGGCGTTTCTTTTTTTCTTTTTCTTTTCTTTCTTTCTTTCATTTTTGTTTTTGAGATGTACTTTCTTATTATTTATTAATTTATTTATTTTGAGACGTAGTTTTGCTCTTGTTGCCCAGGCTGGAGTGCAATGGTGCGATCTCGGCCCACAGCAAACTCCGCCACCTGGGTTTAAGTGATTCTCCTGCCTCAGCCTCCCAAGTAGCTGGGATTACAGGCATGAGGCACCATGCCCGGCTAATTTTGTATTTTTCTCCATGTTGGTCATGCTGGTCTCGAACTCCCGACCTCAGGT
This sequence comes from Homo sapiens, assembly GCF_000001405.40. Lineage (NCBI taxonomy): Eukaryota > Metazoa > Chordata > Mammalia > Primates > Hominidae > Homo > Homo sapiens. The sequence continues at coordinate 6,255,850 of NC_000021.9, forward strand.
GATCCGCCCACTTCTGCCTCCCAAATTGCTGGAATTACGGGCATGAGCCACTGTGCCTGGACAAACAAAGGCATTTCTATGCCAGGTCGGTCTTGTTCCCTTATCTCAGTGAGCTGGAGGTTTGTACAAGTTTTTATCCAAATATGCCAGAGGTTTTTCTGTCTGTGCAGCCATGGGCAGGTCTCCAAGCACAACACCATGTGCTAGTTACCTTGTTAGTGTCTGCAGCTTGATTTTTTCCAGGATTCCTTTTATATTATGCAGGGATGAGACACTGACCCAAGGGCCAGGGACTTTCCAGGGACCCTTCTCTTGCTATCTAACTAAAGCAAGCTAACTAACTTGTTTCAGAATTAATGAGTATTCACTTTTACTTTTGTAAGACAAAAATTATCTAAAACCTATTGCAAAAAAAAATAGAACTATACTTACCACTTCTAAACCATATACTTAAAATGTTAGAAATGAAAATGGCATGTTTTTAACTACAATTAGAAATTTAGGACTACCTAAAAGGCACGGTTACAAAATCTTCAAACATCCCCTTCAAATAACAAAGGGTTCTTCTCACTTAATTATTTAGATTTAAACTATAAGTTGATTGTAAATTTAAGATTATTTCCCTGACTACTCACCAAGATAGAATAAAATAATCACTAGAAACCAAGAAAAGAGGGAAATTTATAGCACTAATGTCCACATCAAAAAGCTAGAAAGGGCCGGTCATGGTGGCTCATGCCTGTAATTCCAGCACTTTGGGAGGCTGGGGTAGGCAGATCACTTGAGACCAGGTGTTCAGGACCAGCCTGGCCAACAGCAAAACCATATCTCTACAAAAAAATACAAAAATTAGCTAGGTGTGGTGATTCACATCTGTAATCCCAGCTACTCAGGAGGCTGAGACAGCAGAAGTGACTTAAAACCGAGAAGTGGAGGTTGCAGTGAGCCGAGATTATGCCACTGTACTCCAGCCTGGGTGACAGAGTGAAACTCTCCCACAAGAAAAAAAAAAATTAGAAAGATCTAAAGTTAACAGCCTAACATCTTGGTTAAAAGAACAAGAAAACCAAGTGAAAACAAACCTGAAAGCTAGCAGAAGATAAGAAATAGCCAAGATCAGAGTAGAGCTGAAGGAGATAGAGACACTGAGAACTCTTCCAAAAAAAAAAAAAAAAAACTCAACCAATCCAGGAGCTGTTTTTATGAAAAAAAAAAAATTTATAAACTAGATGGAACACTAGTTAGGCAAATAAATAAGAAAAGAAAGAACCAAACACAAATAGAAATAATAAGGGAGATATCATCACTGATCCCATGGAAATAAGAACAACGATCAGAGAATACTATAAACACCTCTATGCTCATAAACCAGAAAATCTAGAAGAAATGGACAATTTCCTTGCAAAATAAACTCTCTACAAGACTGAACCCTGAATAGATCAATAATGTGTTCTGAAATTGAGACAGTAAGAACTAGCCTACCAAGCAAGCTGAATTTGACTTGAGGTAAAGAGGAGATAGTACATTTTCTCCTAAAACTATCCAAAAAAAATTGAAGACAAAGAAGTTCTGTCTAACTCATTCTATCAGGCCAGCATCATCCTGATACCAAAACCTAACATAGATACAACAACAACAACAACAACACATCATGCCAATGTCTTTGATGAACACTGTGCAAACATCCTCAATAAAATACTGGCAAACCAAACCCAGCAGCACATTAAAAAGTGCATCCACCACAATGGAATTGGCTTTGTCTCCAGGATGCAAGGTTGATTCAACATATGCAAATCAACAAATGTGACTCATCACATAAAGAAAACTAAATAAAAAAACCACATGATTACCTCAATAGATGCAGAAAAAGCACCCAATAAAATTCAACATTCCTTCACGTTTAAAATTCTCAATAAATTAGGAACTGAAGAAACATACCTCAAAATAAGAAGAGCCATATACAACAAACCCACAGCCAATATCATACTGAATATGCAAAAGCTGGAAACATTCCCCCTGAAAACCGGCACAAGAAAAGTATGCTCTCTCTCACCACTCGCATTACAACTCCCATTCGGAAAACTTGTCCAGGAAAATCAGGCCAGAGGAAGAAATAAACAGTATTCAAATAGAAAGAGAGAAAGTCAAATTATCTTTGTTTACAGATGACCTGACCCTATATCTAGAAAGCCTCTTCGTCTCAGCCCCAAAGCTTCTTAAGGTGATAAGCAGCAGTAGCAAAATCTCAGGATATAAAATCAATCTGCAAAAGTAGCTAGCATTCCCATACACAAGCAACAGGCAAGCAGGGAGACAAATCATGAATGAACTTTCATTCACATTTGCTATAAAGAGAAAAAAATACCAAGGAATACAGCTAAGAAGGAAAGTGAAGGATATCTTCAAGGAGAACTACAAACAACTACTCAGAGGAATCAGAGTGGACACAAAACAAATGGAGAAACATTCCATGCTCACGGAGAGAAAGAATCAGTACCACGAATATGAGCATATTGCCCTAAGTAATTTATAGATTCAATGCTGTTCCCATTGAACTACTGACATTCTTCAGATAATTAGAAAAAAAAAACTTTTTAAAATTAAAATGGAACCAAAAAAGAGCCCAAATAGCCAAGCCAACCTTAAGAAAAAAAAAAAAAAAAGCTGAAAGGGTCATTGCCTAACTTCAAACTGTACTAGAAGAGTACAGTAACAAAAACAGCATGGTACTGGTATAGAAACAGACACATAGACAAATGAAACAAAATAGAGAGCATAGAAATAAAGCCAAAAACCTACAACAAACTGATCTTTGACAAAGTCAACAAAAACAAGGAATTAGGGAAAAGTCTCCCTATTCAATAAATAGTGCTAGGATAACTGGCTAGTCATGTGCAGAGAATTAAGACTGGAACCCTTCCTAACACCATAGACAAAAATTGACTCAAGATGGATTAAAGACTTGAATGTAAAACCCAAAACTATAAAAACCTTAGAAGAAAAAATCTAGAAAATACCATTCAGGATATAGTCATGAGGAAAGATTTGATGACAAAAAGACCAAAAGAAATAGCAACAAAAGCAAAAATTGACTAATGGGGTCTAATTAAACTAAAGAGATTCCACAGAGCCAAAGAAGCTATCATCAGAGCAGAGAAGCTAGAGAATGGGAGAAAAATTTTGCAACCTATTCATCTGACAAATATCTAATACCCAGAATCTATGAGGGACTTAAAATTTACAAGAGAAAAACAAACAACCCCATTAAAAAGTGGTCAAAGGACATGAACAGACATATCTCAAAAGAAGACATACATGTGCCCAACAAACATGGAAAGCTCAACATCACTGATAACTGGATAAATACACATCAAAACAACAATGAGATACCATCTCACACCAATTACAATGTCTATTAATAAAAAGTAAAAAAGAAATAAAAACAGATGCTGGTGAGGTTGTGGAGAAAAGGGAACACTTTTACACTGTTGGTGGGATTGTAAATTATTTCAAGCATTGTGGAAGAGAGTGTGGAGATTCCTCAAAGACCTAGAAGCAGAAATACCATTTGACCCAGCAATACTATTACTGGGCATACACCCAAAGGAATATAAATCTATTTTAAATAAACATGTATACATATGTTCATTGCAGCAATATTTACAATAGCAACGTCATGTAATCAATCTACATGCCCATCAATGATATACTGGATAAAGAAAATGTGGTACACATACACCATGGAACACTATGAAGCCATAAAATGTAATGAGATGATGTCCTTTGCAGGGACATGGTTGGAATTTGAAGCCATTACTCCCAGCAAACTAATGCAGGAACAGAAAACCAAACACCACCTATTATTATTCTAACTTATTAGCAGAAGCAGATCAATGAGAACACATGGACACATCAGGAAGAACAACACACACTGGACACCTGTTTCATGGCATGGGGGAGGGGAAGGAGAGCAGCAGGAAGAATAGCTGCGGATGCTGGGCTTAGTACCTGGGTGATGAGATGATCTGTGCAGTAAAGCACAATGGCACACGTTTATCTATGTAAGAGACCTGCATATCCTGCACATGGACCCCTAAACTTAAAATAAAAGTTGAAAAAAAAGCTTATCACATATGGACCACTGAACTTAAAATAAAACTTGAAAAAACATGAGTATGAGGTGGATTCCCTAGGTTAGACCCAAACTGAAGATCCTGAAGCTCCTGCTGGGGGATTTGGGGCTGGGGGCACCCTGGGGAGCTGCTGCCAAGGCCATCCACCGTCCCTACAGGCCGCCTCTCTTCCCGGCCTGTGATGGAAAGGAGAAGGGGTATGTGAACAGCTGTGGAAGTCAGACTCTCGGGAACTGAATCAGGCCCCAGCCCATGCCCCCCAGCCCAGTCCAGCCAACGTGCCCGCTGTCTTCCCACCCAGCCAGCCGAGCCCTCAGGATTGTTAGATGGAACCAGGCTCCATCACCACCCAGGCATGGAGGGAAGATGCCCTGGTCCTTAGCAAGCAAGGCCTGGTTTCCAAAGTGCTCTCCGAAGAGGCCTCATGTTTGTGACATCTTAGAAGGTACCTTTCTGCTGTTCTTGCACCCAGCATGTTGGCAAGTCAAGTTCCCCCACTGAGTTCTCCACACATAAGGAGGGAGTCAACACCATTGCTAAGTCGGATCAGCTCAAGTGTCTCCAGTATCAGTTTTATCAGATCCCAGGGACCTGCCTGCTCCCAGAGGTGACAGAGAAAAATCAAGGAACGATCTGTATGGTCACTGACATGGATGAAACCCTTGTGCATAGCTCCATTAAGCCAATCAGCAATGCTGACTGCCTAGTGACTGTAAAGATTGAGGGGACCATGAGGCCTTATATGGATGAGTTCCTGAGATGACTGGAGGAACTGTTTAAATGTGTTTTCTTCATTGCTCTCTTCATTCCAGACTGAACAAGTATGCAGATCCTGTTGAGAGGTGACAGCGTGCTGGCAGTCCTCACAACCCTTGCTCACTCTCCGGGCCTCCTCTGCCTGGGCTCCAACTTTGGCGGCACTTTAGGAGCCCTTCAGCCTGTCGCTGCACTGTGGGAGCCCCTTTCTGGGCTGGCCAAGGTCGGAGCCGGCTCCCTCAGCTTGCGACGAGGTGTGGAGGGAGAGGTGCGTGTGGGAACCAGGGCGGCGTGCAGTGCTTGAAGGCCAGCGCGAGCTCGGCGGACCCCACACTCGGAGCCGCCGGCTGGCCCCACCGGCCCCAGGCAGTGAGGGGCTTAACACCTCGGCCAGCAGCTGCTGTGCTCAATTTGTCGCTGGGCCTTAGCTGCCATCCCACAGGGCAGGGCTTGGGTCCTGCAGCCCGCCATGCCTGAGCCTCCCCCCCATCGGTGGGCTCCTGTGTGCCCAAGCCTCCTGGATGAGTGTCGCCCCCTGCTCCACGGCACCCAGTCCCATCAACCACCCAAGGGCTGAGAAGTGCGGGTGCACAGTGCCAGACTGGCAGGCAGCTACACCTGCAGACCCTGTGGGGGATCCACTGGGTGAAGCCAGCTGGGCTCCTGAGTCTGGTAGGGACGTGGAGAAACTTTGTGTCTAGCTCAGGGATTGTAAATACACCAATCGGCACTCTGTATCTAGCTCAAGGTTTGTAAACATGCCAATCAGCACCCTGTGTCTAGCTCAGGGTTTGTGAATGCACCAATCAACACTCTGTATCTAGCTACACTGGTGGGGATGTGGAGAACCTTTGTGTCTAGCTCAGGGATTGTAAACACACCAATCAGCGCCCTGTGAAAAAAGACCACTCGGCTCTAACAATCAGCAAGATGTGGGTGGGGCCAGATAAGGGAATAAAAGTAGGCTGCCCCAGCCAGCAGTGGCAACCCACTCGGGTCCCCTTCCACACTGTGGAAGCTTTGTTCTTTTGCTCTTTGCAATAAATATTGCTGCTGCTCACTCTTTGGGTCCACAATGCCTTTATGAGCTGTAACACTCACTGTGAAGGTCCACAACTTCACTCCTGAAGCCAGCGAGACCACGAACCCACCTGGAGGAATGAACAACTCCAGATGTGCCACCTTAAGAGCTGTAACACTCACCGCGAACGTCTGCAGCTTCACTCCTGAGCCAGCGAGACCACGAGCCCACCAGAGGGAAGAAACTCTCAACACATCCGAATGTCAGAAGGAACAAACTCCAGACATGCCACCTTTAAGAACTGTAACACTCACCGTGAGGGTCTGTGGCTTCATTCTTGAAGTCAGTGAGAACAAGAACCCACCAATTCCAGACACATTGTGATGGGTGTGCTGGACCAGTGTGAGGTGTTCTGGGGTTGCCTAGCCCATGAGTCACGTTTGTTCCACCAGGGCTGCTATGTCAATGACCTCAGCCATCTGGGGAGGGACCTGAGGAAAACTCTCATCCTGGACAACTCGCCTGCTTCTTACGTCTTCCACACAGAGAATGCAGTGCCTGTGCAGTCCTGGTTTGATAACATTCCAGACAGCAGCTGCTGCACCTGATATCAGTCTTTGAGGACATGAGTGGAGCAGAGGGCATCTATACTAGCCTTGGGCAGCAGTGGGCCCTTAGCCTTTCCTGCTTCCCAGCAATGGCCATCACAGTAGGGGATTTTCCCACACTGTGCCTTTATGATCAGCCTGAAAGAATGAAGCCTGGAACACCTACCCACATGGGCCTGGAAACAGTGAGAAGTGATTGAAAAGAGCTTTAGGACAGCTTAGATTCCCAGTGGGTGAATGCCAGACCAAGGATACCCAGAGCTACCTGCCATCAAGTTTTTGGGTTCCCAAGATTGGGTGTGAGAGAAAGAAAGAGAGCATGTGTGTTTTGTGATGAACTGTGGGCCCAATATATAGTGTTTCAGTAGGGGAGAAGCTGAAGGACAGAGACTCTTCCCAAGTTAGCTTTGTCTCCTCTCCTGTCACCCTATGAGACCCTGAGTTCCATAGGGATGAAGACTGTTGAAGGCTCCATTGCAAACCTGGTCTTTCTTCAGTGCTGCAAGGCCTATGCCAAGGAGAAAGGAAAAGTATGTCTTTGGGTGTTCCAGACACACATCTTTCTGAAATATTTCTCCAGCCAGTTGTTGCAGACAAAAGATGATATTTCTGGGAAGATGGGGACTTATGTCCAGACCAGTACCCAAACCATCAGGTCTTGTGGCCTAAAGGCTATGCTTACTTAAGTCCAGCCAAGTGCCTGGGATGGATCCTTTCTGCATCTCCTCAAGACTCACCACTTAGGCATAGCCTCAAACCTGTGGGGAAGGAAGTTGTCTCCCCACCCTGCAAGAGGACAAATAACTGATTTCTCTTCTTTCGACTCTGTTTTAAAATTCTCTTAAAAAAAAAAAAAGCCTATCTGAAACTGAAAAGAAAAAAACAAAAAAACAAGGAAAAAGATGTCATACTTACATAAGTGAAAAACATACAGATATATCTATAAGCAACAAACACAGCTAATTCACACATATATTAAACATCACATTGAGATAAAGTGTACCGAGCTAAAAATTATCTTTCAACTGATGATATCAAGCTTTAAAATAAAAATACATTTAACTGATCTGAGAAAACATAACTCCCAAGAAAAGAAACACAATAACACGGACTTGAAAATAAGAAGAGAGATTTTCGTGCATAAAATCCTGAATACAACATAGATTTACAATGGAAAATAACCGTTTTTTTTTTTATTTTTTTTTTTGAGACAGAGTCTTGCCCTGTTGCCCAGGCTGGAGTGCAGTGGCGCGATCTCGGCTCACTGCAAACTCTGTCCACTGAGTTCACGCCATTCTCCTGCCTCAGCCTCCTGAGTAGCTGGGGATACAGGCGCCTGCCACTATGCCCGGCTAATTTTTTGTATATTTAGTAGAGACGGGGTTTCACCATGTTAGTCAGGGTTGTCTCGATCTCCTGACCTCGTGATCCACCCGCCTTGGCCTCCCAAGGTGCTGGGAATACAGGCATGAGCCACCACAACCGGCCGAAAAATAATTCTTTAGATATCTACAGCATTCAACTGTGTGCACTCATGAAAAGCAGACAATTTAAGTCATTAGAATTTAATAAATTGCAGTAAAATTATACAGAAAATACATTACAATCATTAATAACAGGCTCTAATGAGAGGAATTTAATAAATAATCATTAAAAATACAGGATAATTTTATTATGTTCTCAATATGTTGCTGCACTTCTTACCACAAAACATAATAAAATTATATGACTATAATATAGATTTCAAGAGCTAAAAAAGCCTTATATTTCCAAATAAAAGAACAACATAAATTTTGCAAAATATGACGAGCATTACTGCAGTATAAAGTAAATATCTGGAATTAAAATATACCATCATTTAGATACAGACTAAAAAAAAGAATATAAATGTTAATGATTCCTTTCTGCCTGCAGTGAGCTTAAAATTACAACCAAAAATTTTAATAAATATGTAGCACCTACAAGACATTTTATTAATAGCTTACATAATGTGGAAATTTGAGCAATTTATTTTAGAATTTTTGAATCTAAAAATCACCAGCTTGACATTCATTTGAGAAAGTGAAACATAAAGGAGAGTAACATAAGCAAGACGACAGAATGGGAGGTTCGGCATGCACATCCCCCACAACATAATGCAGCTGCCACGGGAAACATAAGTGCATTCATGAAAGCCTTAGAATCCAGTTCAGAGTTTGTGACACCCAGCTGGAGGCAAAGACCAAGGAAGACATCTTTAGAGGGTAAGCACTTGACCAAGTGGCAAGCTTGCCAATCATGGTCCTCGGTTCAAAACAGAATACTACCACATCTTACTGTAAACTTGGCTATGACTCATTTGAACTTGGTCCTGCCACTGCAAAAATCTGTGAAAAACACAAAAGAATTCATACTCATCTGAGACTTAGGTGACAGGCCTGCAGAACTTGGTTCTCTCTATAGTCCCTGAATCAGGCAAAACACACCTTCTTTCCTTCTCCAGCCAAGGTCTGGAAGAAATCTTCACATTGATATGATGAAATGCTAACTAACAATATGAAAAATACTAAAGTATAAATGTCACTAAAAATGGTAAATACATACTGAAATTCAGAATACTCTAAATTGTTATCATCTTAAACTAGACTATTAAAATACAAGAGGTTTTACATAAGTCTCATGATAACCACTGGGGGAAAAAAAAACATAGTAAAGAAAAAGAGAAAGTAATTAAAGCATACACAAACAACAAAAATTACACATTGGATACAGTGGCTCCTGCTTATAATTCCAACACTTTTGGAGGCCAAGGTGGAAGAATCATAAGCTCCTTGGGTGTTGTGGTACATGTCCAAGTAGTCCAAGCTACTTGGGTGGCTAAGGGGGGAGGATTGCTTGAGCCCAGGAGATTGAGGCTACAGTGAGCTGTGATATGCCACTGAACTTCAGTCTGAGCAAGAAAGCATAACTTTGTCTCAACAAAAATGAACAATACCACAGGAAAGACAGAACCAGAAAAAAAAGAAGCAAACTTAAAATGGACAGAAAACTACAAATGTACAATAGTAACTGCTTACCTATCACTACCTTACAAATAAAAAGATTAAATTATCTACTAAACAGATACTTCTGTAGACTGAATGTCATCTCCAAAATTTAGGATAAAATGGCCAATGTGAAAGAATTAAGAGGTGGAACCTTTAAAAATTAATTAAGCTATAAGCACTCTGCCCTCATGAATGGATTAATGTTCTTATTATGGGAATGGGCTAATTTTAACAAGAATGGATCTGTTATATATTAAAAAAAAAAAAGCTGTCTCTCCCTCACATCTTTGGCCATGTTATTATCCAGCAACTAGACCTTCAACAGATACCAGTAACATGTTCTTTTACCTTCCCAGCCTCCAGAATCATGAGTCAAATAAAATTCTGTTCTTTATTAATTACCAGTCTGTGATATTCTGTTATAACAGCCAAAAGAGACTAAAGCAGACAGAGTGGATAAATGAAACTTTTAAACCTCGTAATATGCTGCTTACAAGAGACTCAATTATGAATTAAGAGCATAGGCTAAAAGTGAAAGGATAGAAAATGATATTCCATGCAAATAATAGCCAAAGGAGTTCAATGGTAGTTATGCTTAAATTAGACAAAATAGACTTTCTAGCAATGTCTCTCACAAGCATGAAATGAGTTTACCATACAATAATAATAGAGGTTAATTTGTCAAGTGAATATAGCTATATATATTTATGCACCCAAAAGGGAGGCTTCTAAATATAAAAAGCAAATATGGGCAGAACTGTAGGGAGAAGTAGAAAGAAATCCAATAATAGAAAACTTTAATGAAATGTATAATAAAGGACAAATAGTTAACAGCATTGTGAATTTGCAAGGGAAAGCTGTTCTCCTGTGTTGCATTTGAGAATGCAGCAAAGAAAGTGGGAACTGATAATTTTACCACAAGCCTGAGTTAGGCTGAAAAACAGGGTGGTCGATTAGAGGTTCCACTTGCCATATATTAAAAAAACACAGGAGAAAACCAGTCCTCCTCTGGAGTGTTAAAATAATTAAAGAGCAGAAAATTAGACTAAAGTGGCTCTAGTGTCCTGGGTTCATAGGTTAAAAAAAAAAAAACAAAAACTAAAACCTAACTCAAATACATTTCCTATAAAGCATTATCTTAGCCTGAAACAAAATGCACGTTTAACCAATGGCAAACATGCAATTAACCTCTGAATATGTAACCAGGACATTTCCATCTGGATAGTTCAAATAAGGTGACTACATAACTGGAACCAATTTTTGAATTTGGGCTGCTTTCTCATGCATCTTATGAAAGCCTTTCCTTTATGCCCCTCTGGTGGACCAGAAATCATGGCTGGGTGCTTTCCATTTCACCAATCACTGTTTGTTCAGATAAACTGGTTAACGTTTTAACATAGACTCCCGTTAATTTTTAACAAGAGAGACTGGGGACCCCACGGGCCGCAGCTCCTCCCACGCAAACACCCAGTGGCAGTTTTTCCCTGATGACCCACCAGGCCTCCCTGAACAATCTGGGAAATACTCATGGCTGTGGGCGCAGAGCAGGGCGCTGCCCAGGGACAGCACCGGATGGGCCAGGCCGGATGTGGGGGTCCTCGATGCTGGCCCAGCGGCCATCTTGCAGCCACAGGGGACTGAGGGCCAAGCTGCGGGAGACTCGGAGCTAACCGTGGGGGCCGGTCCTGCCGGTTTCACAGCCTGCTGTCCCCTCTCGGGATGCCGAACCCCGTATACTCACCATTTCCCAGCTTCCAGGATGTCCTGTCATCTTAACTGTGCGTCCCCAAGGACCTACAGATCACAGGGCAACAGGGGCTGTGAAAGAGTAGCCCGGGGCTCCCAAAGCGGAGGAGGCGAAAGAGGAGACGGATCCCAAGTTCCTGTGCCAGCGCCAGCAAGAGACAAAGACCCGCCAAACGCCAGAAGCCACGCCCTCCTCTCCTGTCCTCTCCAACTGCGCGCCTGATTGGGCTGTTCCCACATCAGTGTCAATGACTGGATAAAACTCCAGGACTCACCCACCCCCGCCTGACTCCTGCCCCTACCCCCACTCCCCCTCAGCCTTAGTGCATTTTTGTTAGTTTGTTTTACTTTAAGTTCTGGAATACATGTGCAGAACGTGCAGGTTTGTTACATAGGTTTACATGTGCCATGGTGGTTTGCTGCTTCTATCAACCTGACGTCTAGGATTTAAGCCCCATATGCATTAGGTATTTGTCCTAATTTTCTCCCTCCCCTTGACCTCAACACCCTAACAGGCCCCAGTGTGTGATGTTTTGTTCCCGGTGTCCATGTGTTCTCATTGTTCAACTCCCACATATGAGTGAGAACATATGGTGTTCTGTTTCCTGTTCCCGTGTTAGTTTGCTGAAGAGAATGGTTTCCAGTGTCATTCACGTCCCTGCAAAGGACATGAACTCATTCTTTTTATGGCTGAATATTATTTCATGGTGTATATGTGCCACATTTTCTTTTTCCAGTCTATCAATGATGGGCATTAGGTTGGTTCCAAGTCTTTGTTATTGTAAACAGTGCTGCAATAGATATATGAGTGCATGTGTCTTTATGCTAGAATGATTTATATTCCTTTGGGTATATAACCAGTAATGAGATTGCTGGGTCAAATGGTATTTCTGGTTCTAGATACTTAGGGAATCACCACACTGTCTTCCATAATGGTTGAAGTAATTTACACTCCCGCCCCCAGCAGTGTAAAAGCGTTTCTATTTCTCCATAGCCTCATCAGCATCTGTTGTTCCTGACATTTTAATAACTGCCATTCCAAATGGTGTGAGATGGTATCCCATTGTGGTTTTGATTTGCATTTCTCTAATCATCAGTGATGATGAGCTTTTTTCTTTTTCCTTTTTGTGTGTTTGTTGACCACATAAATGTCTTCTTCTTCTTCTTCTTCTTCTTCTTCTTCTTCTTCTTCTTCTTCTTCTTCTTCTTCTTCTTCTTCTTCCTCTTCTTCTTCTCCTTCTTCCTTTTCTTTTTATTTATTTTATTTATTATTATTTTAAAGACGGAGTCTAGCTCTGTCACCCAGGCTGGAGTGCAGTGGCAGGATCTCAGCTCACTGCAACATCTGCCACCCAGGTTCAAGTGATTCTCCTGCCTTATCCTCCCAAGAAGCTGGAATCACAGCCACCCGCCAAAACACCATGCTAATTTTTTGTGTTTTTAGTAGAGACATGGTTTCACCATGTTGCCCAGGCTAGTCTTGAACACCTGACCTCATGATCCACCTGCCTCCATGGCTGAAAGTGCTGGGATTACAGGCTTGATCAACCACGCCCAGCCAAATGTCTTCTTTTGAGAATAGTCTGTTCATATTCTTTACTCACTTTTTGATGTTTTTTTTTTGTGTGTGTGTGAAATTAAGTTCCTTGTAGATTCTGGATATTAGACCTCTGACACATGGATAGATTGCAAAAATTTTCTGTCATTCTGTAGGTTGCCTGGTCACTCTGATGATAGATTCTTTTGCTGTGCAGAAGCTCGTTAGTTTAATTAGATCTCATTTGTCAATTTTAGCTTTTGTTGTGATTGCTTTTGGTATTTTATTCCTGAAGTCTTTGCTCATGCCTATGTCCTGAATGGTATTGCCTAGGTTTTCTTCTAGGGTTTTTGTGGTTTGGTGTTTTATATTTAAGACTTTAATCCATCTTGAGATAATGTTTGTATAAGATGTAAAGAAGGGGTCCAGTTTCTGTTTTCTGAATGTGGCTAGCCAGTTCTTTCAGCACCATTTGGTAAGTAGTAAATCTTTCTCCATTGCTTGTTTTTGTCAGGTTTGTTAGAGATCAGATGGTTGTAGATGTGTGATGTTATTACTGAGGCCTCTGTTCTGTTCCATTGGTCTATATATCTGTTTTGGTATTAGTACTGTGCTGTTTTGGTTACTGCAGCCTTGTAGTATAGTTTGAAGTCGGGTAGCAAGATGCCCCAAGCTTTGGTGTTTTTGCTTAGGATTGTTTTGGGTTGACAGGCACACAGGCTCGTATAGTTGGGGTCACCTGCCCAGAGTATCACAGCTAATTAAGAAGTGAGCTGAGACTTGAAATGCACATGCTCCTTCCCTTACCTGGGTCTGTTGTATAATGCATCTTAGCAGCTATTTAACAGTAGGAATTAGAACATTTGGACATCTTTTTAACAACTTTTTAACCTGCATTTTGATAATGCAGGAAAGACCTTCATCCCGTCCCTGAGCCCCTCTCTCACCACGCTACATCCCACTGCTGACCACATTGTAGGGTAGCCATTAGGAATCAGGCGGGCAGTGGGGGCTGGGAATAAATAAGCAAGGATTATGCTGCCCAAATTTGCTCATCTTAGAAAGTCTCCTCAACCATTCTGTGTGAAGTGATTATTCCAGGGTAATTGTGGCCTGACTGCGCTGCATGTCAGTCTGACTTGTCTTTTTGAAAATCACTGGATTACTCTCATGAACGGGGGTATTTCTCTTTCTATTTGAAAACGGCCAACTGTCCTCTGCAGGTGTCCTGATTTGCTAGTTTAGACCCTGAAGGTAGCGGTGAGAAAATATTTGGGCCACAACAGAATACCTATTCTCAGCTGGAAGATATATAGAAATTTCTTAATAATATCTAACCATTTTCTCAATAACCATTATATTTAACATTGATAGCTTGGAGGGCAGGGAAGGACACAGATGACACAATCTTCAAAGTTTATTTATAAGTTTTTTTTTTTTTGTTCTTGTTTAGTTTTGCTTAGTTTTTGGATACAAGGTCTTGTTCTGGTGCCCAGGGTGGAGGGCAGTGGCATAATGATAACTCATAATTTGGTTGTAACGGTTCTTTAAAATATATTTTTGCTGAGAGTGCTAGCTCACACCTGTAATCTAAACACTTTGGGTGGTCAAGGTGGGATTATCGTTTGATCCCAGGAGTGCAAGACGAGTCTGAGCAACATAAGTAGGCTCAGTCTCTAGAAAAATATTTAAAAATTGTCTGGGTGTAGCTTTGCATGCCTGTAGTCCCAGCTACTTGAGAGGCTGATTTGAAAGCATCACTGGAGCCTAAGAATTTGAAGATGCAGTGACCCATGATTCAGCCACTGCATTGACAGAGTGAGATATGTGTGTGTGTGTCTGTGTGTGTGTATAAAGAATTTGTATGTGAAAAAAATTCAAGCACAGGATAAAAGTGAAAGCCCATGGTGGGGGATGTGGAGAAAGGTCAGTGTGGCTCCAGCAACTCAGTGAGACTTGGTTTTCCATCTTGAAGAATTGCCCATCCACACTGACACCATAGCCTAACATATGCCAGTTCTCACACTACACCTGCTGGGATACCAGTATGTAGCCTTTTGAAAAAAATAAAATCTTTCACCTAAGAGAAGGACAAGAGAAAACGAGGGTTTCACATCTAAAGCCTTCATTTTCTTTATGAATCAACAGCCACTTGTCATTTCAATTGTCCAGAGGCGACTGACAGCACCAATACACTTAATGAATCAACCAGGAAAAATGGGCCTCTCAGGTGAGGAGGAGGCACAATGGTCACAAAACCCAATCCGTTCTCAGCTTTGCATGGTGCTCGCATCTCAAGAAGTGGTGTTAGCCATGTGAACCGTGTTCACTGGACAAGGCCAGAGGAAAGAATATTTAGTACAACACAACTATGGGGCTGCAAATCAAACTGGTAGTGAGAGCATGCATGAGGCTTCAGTGGCCGAGACACTGGTGGCTACCCTTCGGTGTCACTTAAACCTTTGAGGTGAAGGACGTTTATTTTCCCCAATTGGCTCAGAGAAACTAATCAACATTAATATTGAGATTTGTTTTTCTTTTCAAAATTTCTAAGACACAGAGGACTCTAACACTCCAAAAGACATTCAGATATTCTTGCAGCTGAGGACTTGACTGCTCTGTAGAGGGATGGCAGAGCAGCAGCCACCAGCTTTAAGAGCTTTAAGCTCCTCCTCTTATAGGGAAAGGCCACCCCCACACAACCCCCCTAACTTCATAGGCTCTGGCTGTTAGGTGCACCTGGGGGACTGTCTTCCTCCCATCTCATTAGCTCTCCAAGACAGTTCAGCTCAATCTAAAACCTACCCTAAGATGGCGGTATGTAGACTCTCCTCCATTCTCCCAGCGCAGTGTGACTTCTGGAGAGTGCTCCCCCATCGTCTTACCTCAAATGATGTGAAAAGAGCTGGTTCCCGGGTAGTTAGATGTTCAGTGACCTAACAGGCCCAGCATGCGCAGGGCCTGGCCCCACAGCCTGGCACCTCTCTCCTACCTGGCCTTCACTTCGACCTTTTCTCTTCTGTCACCAATGTCAGGTGATGGTCACCAGTGCCACACTCTCATGAGCTTGGTAAGTAGCAGGGGTGTAAACCCCAACAGATTTCCTGTGACTCTACCCTCTTACCTCCCACTCAAGTGACATTATAAGCATAATTTTATATTTGATCTAATTTATGCATAACCTTTTTATAACATTTCTGACAACAGCCCACACAACCACATGAGTCTGGGTTACAGAACACACGGGCGAGGCTCGGGTAGCAGGTTTCACTTACTTTATTCCAATGTGAAATGAAGATTGATGATTTAAAAACAAGACAAAGTTGTTTATCAGCTGTGGGGTGGCTACACTTGCTAGCTCATGCTCACTTCCTTTGAAACAAGGTATCTGGACAGACCATATTCATAAGTAAGACTTCGCAAAACCTCAGACAGAAGTTCCAGTCAGACACAGCTCCCTCAGGCTCACAGGGTGGCAACCGCCTCCATGTTAGGCTCTGACAGCAGGCAAGGAAAGGAGCACAGGCAGCAGGGGACAGGGAGGGTCCGGGACTGTAGGGATCCCCAAATGCCCCAGAGCTATTCTCTGTAGAAGGGCACACGCAGGTCTCACTGTGTCAGTGCAGTGGCTGAATCATGGGTCACTGCAGCCTCAATCTCTTAGGCTCCAGTGATGCTTTCACCTCAGCCTCTCAAGTAGCTGTATGGCAAAAAGCCTCCTACTTTTTACTTAAAACCTGGACTTTAAGCCAGGTTGGGCCTGGGAATAGTGGCAGCAAAAGCAGCAGCCAAATGTATACACTTCAGATGTCTACACTCATGGGCACAGGCATATTCCACACTTGCTGGAACACGAGACGCCTGAGAGGCACCTGTTTCCCAGCTACTAACTGATGTCCACACACCCCATTCACGTGTCTTCATTTAGGTCTCTGCATCGTATATTTGCTCAGCCAGTGCAAACACATCTTCTAGGGGGCAACATTAATTGCAGCACCTGCCCCACTTGTTCTGGGAGGGAGTCAAGAGGAATCTGGTCAGCTCCTAATCCCCCAGGACAAAGGTGATGCCCCCTTTTCAGGACTTACATCCAGCAGCGTCATCTCGGGATGGGTTTTTCAAACACAAGCAGCATGAGGTAGCAAGCATGGTGTGACAGGCTCAGGGCCATGGGCAGCCGGCTTCTGGAGAAGCAGCACAGGGCAGGCACATCTGTGGGTGGCACCATGACAAGCCAAGACAGCCTCAGCCCCTAATCCCAACAGCTCCAGCCCAGATGGCATTCAAATCTTCCCGGATAATATGGGGGTGCCCGATGCCCATCACTCGCCCTCTCATTAGCACGGCCTTGTTGGTTACTCAGGGACTAAGGAGAGGGGGTGGGGGATGTAGATCCAGGGTGGGCACTGCCTCACAGCCAGAGTCCACCTGACTGCAGGCCAGCAAGCAAGCCCAAGCAGCTCAGCTCTAGTCACCTCTGGCTGCACTTTTTATGTGTAATTTACACAAAGGCAGCAAAAGGAGGTCAACATTAGCTGTTGTGACATGAAAGTCTATGCCTCATTAAGACCTTAAAATGCTATTGTCTTAAGCTCTCTTTACTCTAATAAAATTTATACAAATAAACACATACAAGGTGAACTACTATAAAGGAAATATTAGGATTTTTTAAACCCATAAACAGACATGAAAACAGTCACTGTTTGATTGCAGAGAAAGTGAGCTTCTAAAGCACCTGACCACAAAACAGCCTCACCAAACCCCAGGCAGGCCAGGCAGTCTGAACACTACAAGGCCACGTGATGGTCACAGAGGATGACAGCTCCCATGAGTATTGCAAGGCACTGTGTTAGCTTCTCACTCACAGTCTCAGAATACCCTGTGAGGGGAGGCCCCGTCTCACTAGAGCACAGGAGGTTCCTGAGCTCTTCCCAGAAAATGGTCATCAAACGATGGAGCAGGGGGAAGCCCAGACAGAACAAGTGAGTCCCTAGGGTCTCCTTAACCTCCCTCAGCTCCTCCACATGGGTTCCTGAGGGAAAGTGAGCAGTCTCCTAACCCCTTTGTTAGGGTTCCAGTCCTGCAGGTCTGGACTCTCTCATTTTATGCTACCATAGGGGATGACAATGCAACCCCAGGCTCCTTTTTTGCCATCCCTCAATGCCAGGCCAGGCCCAGAGCCATTTGCTGACACAGCCCAGGGGATGCTCAAGGCCCACCTCGGCACAGTCACCTGTAGTGTACTGAGATGAGCAAGGAGGTGCAAGTAGACACAAATCCCCATGGGCTTGGCCTCAGCTATGTTCCACAGGCTCAGGGCCTCGCAGAAGAGCTCACAGCCCTCCTTCAGGAAGCCTGCAGATCACACCCTCAGGGAGCAGTGCTCAGATGAGCAGGCAGGCCCCACATCCCCCACCCCATGACGCTCTGTTCCACTTTGCAGGCTTCTGCATTGGCCAGTCCCCACTGCTTTCTGGTGAGATGTCCGAGTTGAAGTGAGTGTTGAATGCCACACAGCTGATGGAGCTCACTGCCTTGCACATGTTGTAAAACACCTCCTGGTTACAAGGGTCAGCTGTGGAGACACAGCTTGATGGGAGGTAGGCCCACTCCACCATCAGTAGTGCTGGGTTGCCCTGATCTGCACCTTCCAGATACTTGCTGAGATATCTGCATGCTTCTCTAAGGGACTGGGTCACGAGACACCCCTGGCAAGGACCAGCTGGCAGAACAGGCTGGACACTCTCCTTCAGCCTCCCCAGCAGCCCTACCTGTGCTGTCATCTGTGCTGATGATCTCCGTGGTAAGATTATGGGAAACTTTTACAGCAAGTTTTCCTTTCTCACTTCCCTATCTTAATAACAGCACTGATAACTTTTAAGCCCTAGAAAGCTGGAACTGCAAGACACATGATCTTCTGCCTTAGAAGGTCCATGTTTGGGCAGTGTGTGCCCAGGTGAGAGCCCCATGGTTGTTAGTGGAAGCCGGGAGCTGGATGGGCCTGGCCCCATAGCCTAGTGAAAAGTGGGACCCTCTCCTTCCAGAGCATGGAAGTCTCAGAGGCTGGAAAAAGGTGCCTGAGTGGCCTGCCAAAAAGCATAAGGCTAGAAGGGCTGGAAGGAACCCCAACAGTCTTCAAGGTGCCTGAGAGGGCTGGGCTCATTCCAGCTTTCTTTGCTTTCATCCTGATAGCAAGAAAACCTGCTCACACATGGCAGGCGGGCCTGAGGCTACCATTCCCTCATCAGGGGCTATAGGCACTTTAATGTGGCTCTTTCTTGAAGCAGCTGCTCAGGCCGGTTCTCGAAGAGAAGTTCCCTCATTATCCACAGGTTCTTGTTCCAGCCCCGTGTCTGCAGAGGGACTAGGGAGGGAGAAAATCTCTCAGCCTGTGCCCCACAACCTGCTCTGAGATATCTCTTTTGTTACTTCCTCACGGACAGCATCAAACTTCCAAATGAACAGACCAGCATGGAGCCTCCAGAAAAGTGCACAGAATTCTGTCTAGTACCCAGATGGAAGGGGGTTCCCAGTGAGGGCAGGGCCAGGCTGCATGCACCTCTTCAGGAATGTTCTCCTCATTGTCCAACTTCAAGGTGTGCATCCTCTGTGTGTATGCAGTCCATGGCAGGCTCTGCCTGGGGAACCGTCCAGCTGAACACCTGCAATGTGGTGGTGACCCTCTTGAATGAGTGGTTGTGGGCCCCATGGCAGTCATCAGAGAGGGAGATGCTTAGCCCACCAAGCCGAGAGCCCTGCCACAGCCTTCTGTGAGGCCTCCATCTGCTCTGGGTTCTTGCCCTGAAAGGCTGTCCTGAAGTCAAACAGAAGAAGGTGGGCCTCTCTTCCAGGGCTGCTCTTTATCCCACTGACAGCTCCCTAGAGGGCGACTAAGACAGCGGGGACAGATTCCTCAGGCAGAAGGACTGGAGTTTAGGCTGACGGGTTCATTCCATACCCCCACATGAGATGACACAAGGCAGGGGCTGTGGGACAAAGGCATTGCCTTTCCTTCTGGGATGAGGAATGGCATAGGAGACAGGGTATGGTGGGGCTGGGGTTGAGCGATGGGCTTCACTGAGTAAGTGTCCTGGTTATCTGTCCACAGACCCAGAACAAGTGGCATCCCAGGAGCCTGGGAGGGGCTGGCAGAGACTTACTGGTTCCAGCAAAAGCCCATGTGGATGCAGCAATGCTGCCTGCTGGTCCTTGGCTGTAATTACAAACAGGTACTTGAGGTCCCCATGCATCTTGCAGCTCTCAGAGAGTGTGTTCCAGCTGCTCATGGTAGGCACTTTTAGTCACTGAACGTGCTTCAGGAATGGCCAAGCTTGATTAAGCCAGGCGTCTTGCTGTGAGACCCTCCACCCAACTGAGGACCCTCTTCCTTGTTCCCCCTGGCAGTTTCACCTTCCAGTTCTGGTTCTAGAGACACGATGGCCCCTCTTGGGCCCCTGGGAGAATGTGCTCAGGTGACACACTGTCGACAGGGCCCATTTCCAAGCCATTCTTCCATTTCCCACTGTTTGAGGGGCTGAGGCCGGTGATCAGCACAGGGCCACCCAGGGCCAGCTGTCTGCACCTAAACATCATGCTGGTCTGGATGTCTCAGGGCCAGAACTCTCCAGGTGAGATGGCCTGGTCCTCAGCACCTGGCCTCCGTGCTCCTTTTTCCTCTGTTCAATCCTGGCCCCAATGCCTCCCGCAACTCTCAGGTCACCATTGGAGAAGATGCTCAGGAAGAACAAGAAGCTGCAGTCAACCCTGCTGAAGGTGGCATATGGGTCCAGGCTCTTGAGCTGGTCTTCGACATGGTACATGTGGATGCAGGCTTTGAGCAGTGTGAGTAGCTCTTTCCGGAAGGAGGGGAAAACGGTGTTTCCAGGGTCCTACACCCTAGAACGACCCATCTAGCACAGAAAACAGTTTGCAACGTGCTATCATGTGTGATTTTAATTTTCAACTTTAGGCTTTCATTTTCAATTTCCACAATAAACACATAAGGTGGGGTTCTGATTTCAACACACACACATTCTCTCTCTCTCCCTCTCTCTTAGAATCTTCCAGTGCGTTCACACTGAAAGCCAAAGTCCTCCCAGAATCTTGTGAGAACCTAAATGATCTGAATAGTTTGTCATTGATTTTGGGGATCTGGGAAAATCTCTGCACATTTCTGGAGACCGCTGTTATGCCAATTTTAATAAATCTGTTGTGCTTCAATTCAGAAGTGTGTGAAGGGAGTTGTGGAGGAATTGGCATTTGGGTTAGAAATTCCAGGAACACCAGAGACAGATGACACCTGTTTTCTGCTTCATAATGTCAAGTTTTACGATGGCTAAAACCTAATTCTACAAGAAAATTAGACTGAAAAACTTTATAGGCAAAAATTATCTTATTAAATAGGAAAATCTAAGTATTTTATTTTAAAATTTCCTTTTTCTTAGTAGGACCTAATCATAGAAATGTAAACTCTATATGCCAACAGCCTCTACTGTAGGATGGTTTATTGTATGTACTCATTTTACTGATTTCTTACAAAAACTTTTTCCGTAAGGGAAATTAGAATATTGTTCAACATATATTGAATTCACAATTATTACTTTATTTCTCACTTAGTATTTTATGATTCTGTCTTCTTTAATATGAAGATTACTATGACTGTGTTTTCACTTTCTGAATTATCATGTGTCACATTTGTCTGTAATTTCCTTTCAGAAGTTGTAAAATAGCATGCTCAAATGTATATATTATGTATAAATTATATAATTTATAATTTATTAAAATATTTGGCTTGTATGTTTAATTGACTCTAGGCACAATGTTACTATTAGCATCTTCTTCCAGTTTTCCCAACTTTTATTTGACTAATAGTACAATTTATTTCCAATTTTTATTTTATATGTCAATGTTTTATACTGTATTTACAATATTTATATTGTTACCATATTTAGAAATGTAAGACTTTTCAATTAAAAGCTAGATTACAGCCTTATCGTTTTGTGTAAGAAAAGCAGCAATGCATCAGTAGCATAATTTAAAACTTTCTCTAGTATTACTTAAATGCTTATTCCTTAAAACTTTCTCATCACAGCTCTTTGTATTAATTATAATGTGTTTTCTCTGAAATGTTGTTGCCCTAACTGTATCCAAATAATTCAAAATTCATACTTTTCATAGATTCACAGGAAGAGTTAAAAATTGTAGTTACCTGGGATTCTTTTTCATTTGGACACTATGTTTATTCAGGATTTTATGGATTAAAGTTTCTCTTAATTATGTTTTATAATTTTATGTTTCTGTATTTTTTAGAGTAGGCTGTCTCACATCAGTTAATTGTGTTTTTACTTTCTACCTATTTATTATGATTTTGAATTTCATTATTCAAATAAGAATTTGGGGGTTAATGTTTATTTTAACTTTGTTTTGCAATTTTACATTTCTGTGTTTCATGTTTTAGGGTAGGGCACCTTATATTAGTTTATTGTTTTAAGTTTTAATTTGTATAATATAATATTGTATAACAATATTCAACTCTGTATGCATTAAGACAGTGTGGGGCAGAAGTCAAATATGAACCATCCCTATGTCTTTTGTTAATACAATGATTTAACTGTTTGTTTGCCTGTATAAATATTGCCCCTATTTTGTTTATGACTTTTATATTTTCTTCTTATTTGATGGCCAATAATTTATTCTGTCTAAGTGAGTAATCATGGAAATTGTCTTAATTTCAACATCTATTGTTTATATTATCTTAGTGTGAAGGAAAGATTTATGTGATTTGAAGATAATTTTTCAGAAACTTTGTAACTCTCTCCCTTCGGGTGTCTTTTTTTTTTTTTTTTTTTCTTTTGACAGACTCTCACCCTGTTGCCAAAGTGCAGTGGCACAATCTTGGATCACTGCAACCTCCACCTCCCAGGTTAAAGCAATTCTCCAGCTGCTGCCTCTTGAGTAGCTGGCATTAAAGTTCTGCACCACCGCGCCTGGCTAATTTTTGTATTTTTCATGAAGCTGGGGTTTCACCATGTTGGCCAGGCTGGTCTTGAACTTATGGCCTCAAGTAACCTGCATGCCTCAGCCTCCCAGAGTGCTGCGATTACAGGCATGAGTGATCACTCTTGGCCCTTGGGTGTCATTTTTAATTTCGATTGTGGTAAAAATACATAACATAAAATTTAGAATCTTTAATATTTTTTC
Source organism: Homo sapiens (assembly GCF_000001405.40). Taxonomy (NCBI): domain Eukaryota; kingdom Metazoa; phylum Chordata; class Mammalia; order Primates; family Hominidae; genus Homo; species Homo sapiens. The sequence continues at coordinate 6,278,877 of NC_000021.9, forward strand.
TTATACAGTTCAGTCATGTTAAGTGTATTTACATTGTTAAGCAACATATTTGTAAAATTTTTTCTTTTGCAAAACTAAAACTCAGTACACATGAAATGACAACTACCCATTGTCCTTACCACCTGGCTCCTGATAAAAATCATTCTATTTTCTGGTTCTAAGTTTCAATACTTTAGATATTACATATAAGTAGAATCATAGAGTATCTGTTTTATTGTGACTAATTTTACTTAGCATTATGTTCTCAAGATTCCTCTTTATTGTGGATGGTACAAGATTTTCTGCCTTTAAAAGCTAAGTAATATTCCATTAGTTTTATATTACAAATTTTATTTATTTATTCATTCTATGAGGAAAATTTGTGTTGCTTTCACCTATTGGCATTTCTGAATAATGCTGCAATGAATATTGGTATGCAAATAGCTATTTGCTCATATGTGTGAGGTTTACATGTGTGCTACCTTCTGTTTTATTGGAAAAATTGTCTGTGTTTATGCCAGAAACAAACTGTTTTCATTGCTGTTGCTTTGTAATGTGCTTTGAAATCAGAAAAGGTGAGGTCACTAACATTGTTTTTTTTAAACATTTTGGGGCTCTTTATGGTCGCTTGAGATTCCATATAATTTGTTGGTTCCTTTTTCTATTTCAAAAAAAAAGTTCTTAATTTAAAAGGGATTGCATTGAATCTGTAACTCGCTTTAGACATCATAAGCATTATTCATAATATTAAGTCTTACAACCCTTAAACATGAGCATGCTCAAAAGTGAGTTGTTTAATTTCCATATATATGTTGCTATTTTTGTTTTCTTCTGTTATTCATTTCTAGTTTTATTCCATTTTGATCAGAAATAATAGCCATTGAAAGGCTAAACCACTCTGGGAAGTGACCCCCATTATAGAACATTACAAAGAGATGTGAGGGCACCACTTCTGCCCTGATGGGCTACTGGGATGAGTTCTCTTAGATGACACATTGCAGACAAATGTAGGAAACAATATAACCCCTTTTTCATGTAAACTCTTCCCTATTTTTGTAGAGTATTAGTGATAGTGGTGGCTTTCAAGTCTTGGAGAAAGTCTGGCAGTACCATGAACCTGCTTGCTACAGATGATATCAGAGGGGAATAATTAAAACTATACAAACTGTAGTAACATGAATAAATGCAGCCTAGTGTAAAGTAAAAACAACACAAAGGCCTTCTCTGATATTTCTACAAGAATGTAAAAAGGGACTTTACACTTAACCAAGTTGCCACTGGGACCAGTTAAGGCTAGATTTTTGGGGGGTAGATCTGAGGGTCACTCATGGAAATCCCCTAGGAGAAAGCGCAGAGAAATTCCATATTTGGGTCTGGATCCTGGACCCATCCTGGTTTTGTCAGGTCCCTCTCTGTAGAGAACCCCATGTGCCTGCTCTCAACATAACTCATTGTATGCCATGCTTGGGGGGTGTGGTGAACCTGCCAGTTGTCCAAGGAGATGGGGGACTTGAACCCATCAAATATCTGCTCACTGATTTTAATGCAGCTCTACAAAGAGTGTTCCCAGCAGCGAAAAAAGTTAATTGTCTTCTTTGTTTTTACCACCAGGTGACATCTGCATTAGAAATTCTGTTTCCTAGATCAGGAACATAGGAGTATCTGCATAGACCCCCAGCCAATGAGGAAACCCGAGGACAGCTTAAGGCCTTGGGATTCACATCTGAGTAGACGTACTTGGTCCGCAACTCACAACTTTTTATTCCACCAACCGTGACCTGGGTATGAACATGACAGACCCACCAGGGTTCCTGTGTCTTAAAACCTGCCCCTGTGAGGAAAAGCCCCCTCCTTTCCTGCTCCCCTTGCAACACAGGGTAATGGTAGGCAGGGTCGGGTTGCCCAGATTAGATGACACAGGTGGCCTGGCATGGACGGACCTGCCCTGGGCTAAACTGTGTTACCTGTGGGTGCCTCTTGTCGAATGGCCAGTGGTATCAAGGATGTAGGCTGAGCCAGTATGTATACTGTCAGAAAAGGCTCTCACTTTGAGCCTTTCTCAGGCAACAGCTTGGGAATATAACACAATGAGAACACAGTGCCCTCTCAAGCATCTCCCAAGAAGTTAGCTAGATACAGGGCTGTCTCTAGAATGTGGGTTTCTGGTTCCCAAAGTTCTAAATTCTGTTAGGTTTTGTCACAAGGGAAGTCTGTTAACTTCTTCAAGGTTTTATCCCCTGAGCCCTTTTCCTCCATAAATCTACGCAAAGTCCCTGCTGGGCTGCTGATTGCTCACCCTCCTCTCCCATGTCAACTCTTTACCTGTAAACAGTTATGCAAACACAATTATGTCCCTTAATTCCCAAAAAGTTCTAAATGCAGCCAGGGCCCCAGGTTTGAGAGAACAGAGTTGGGTTAAAATCTTCTTTTCCTTTTCATTTCTGTGACCATATGAAAATGACTGTGTGCTTCAGGTCTCCCCAGCCCTGAAGTATGCATAATGGGATTATGCTAACATCAACTTCCAAAAACAGTCTTTGGTGATATATGAGATAGAATGAATCAAAATCGGTTGGATGCAGTGGCTCTTGCTGTAATCTTAGCAGATTGGTAGACCAAGGCAGCTGGAACACTTAAGGCCAGGGGTTTGAAACCAGCCATGGCCAGCATGGCAAAAACCCTTCTCTACGAAAAATCCAAAAATTAGCCAGATGTGTTGATGCATGCCTGTAATCCCAGCCACTCAGGAGGCTGAGGTGTAAGAATCACTTGAGCCCAGGAAGCAGAGATTACATTGAGCCATGATCCTGCCACTGCACTCCAGCCTGGGTGACAGAGCGAGACTGTGTCTCAAAAAATATATATATATATAATGTATATAAATATTTTTATTTATATATTATATATAACTATATATATATCAATTATATATAACTATATATAATATATAAACTTATACATATATATCTTTATATATAAAAGATACATAGTTTATGTATCTTTATACATAAAAGATATATATTTTATATATATGGCCTTAATTTTCCATTCCACAGCAGAAGAGGTTGAAATTAAAAGAAAATCAGATACTGTCTTCTGGCATTAAATATTCCAGTGCTGTGCATTATATTTAGAATCATATGTATATGCCTCATCTCAGCCTATGTGGTGGGCACCCCCAACAAAGTCTCACAACAACACTAAGTTGTGAGTGACTCTGTTATTTTAAAACGCAGCTCACCTCTCAGTGCCTCAGAAGCAGGTACTATAACACCGGGTTTCTAACAGAGAGATGGGATTCCAGCTCAAGTCTGTTTCCCTGTGCTTACTTAAAGGTAGTAATATTCTCAGAAAGGTTTAGGAGGTAGGTTCTGGATTAGTACGGAATTGCTTAAAGGAAAAATGTATGGAAAATCACTGGGCATGAACAACTATTTTTTCTTGCTACACACAGATCACATGTGCAAATTTGGGGACAGTTAGTACAAAACATGTGATGGAAATTTGGGCTCTGACATCAGTGAGCTTATTTCACACAGACTCCAGTTGACCATATTGGTTCCGACCAATTTTAGCCACTTTTTAGAAGTCTCATAAGTGGAATAAATTTCATTCTTTCAACAAGTTGTATCTTTTCTTATCTGTCATTCTGCAAACTGAAGAATTTCTGTTAGTCATTGGATGAACTCTTTGGGGACCTGGTTCTAGTTTCTGTCAAAGGGAAAACAACAAATGTGATAGGTTATCACTTCTGACTTAGTTCAGACTTCTATACCAAAAAACATAGACTAGGCAACTTATAAATAAAAAACATTAGTTCTAGAGGCCAGAAATTTGAGATTGGGCTTCCAGCATGGTTGGGGTCTGGTAAGGACTCTCTTCTGAGTTTCAAACTCCAGACTTCAGGTTGTTTTCTCATTTAGCAGAGAGAGGGAGAGACAGCCTTCTGCGGTTTCTTTTACAAAGCCCGTAATCGCTATCATGAGGTCCTCATGCTTCGGACTTAATTACCTCTGACCTGCTAAGGCCATTACACTGGGGATTAAGGTTCTGGTATGTGAACATGGTGGGGAATCACATAGTCTTCTGCAACTTCCAAAGTTATATTTCTAAAACAGCTATTATTTTCCTCTTACTTGCTCTGTCCTGTGTGTCCTCTCTCAATCTCTCTGTCTCCCTTTCTCTCTTTTTCTCTGCATATGTCTGTCTATCTCTTTCATTTTTCATCTCTGTATTGTAATCCTCAAGATGAGGAAGTGATCTGCAGTGTCCTAAGATGCTCTAGGCACAGACCCACATGATAGAGAACTGAGGAGATGCCCAGGCCAATCGAGAGGAAGGAACTCGGGCTCTCAGTTCACACTGAATCGTGCCAGTTTCCATGAGGCAGATAGAAGGCTGATCTCTCCTCAAATCCAGCTTCAGTTGAAATCACAGCCCCAGCCTCGTAAGAGACCTTGAGGCAGAGGCACCCAACTAAGCTATATCGAGATTCTGGTTCACAAAAGTTGTGAGATAGTATTTGTTGTCAACATGTGCTAAAATTCAGGGAAATTTTGTCAGAGAGGGGCAAATGACTAATCTCCTCTTTCAGTCCCCAGGATCCTCCCTCCCCTCTTTTCCTTTCTTTCTCAGGCTGCCTGCCGCCACAATTGTCCCGTTATAACCTCCTCTGCTGAACTCACCTGTGCCTGTGAGTCTCTTCACAAAGAGTGGCTTTTCCCTGACACACTTTGCACACCTGCGCAGGACTGGCTCTCTGTTGTCATTCTGGTCACAACATAATGTCACCTCAGGGAGGCATTCATGTCCCCTCCAGGCAACCTCTCCCCAGCCCTCCCTCCCAACATTCTACTTTATTTCCATTATAAAATGCTCTTTTCTTTCACATGTACTTGCTTTAGTGTTTTTGTCCTGCCGTCCTCAGACTGTGGGCTCCCCGCGGGGAGGCAGGGATAACATAATCATTTTTGGTACCATAAGGTGAACCTACCAAGGTAGCTGCCACATGGTGAGTGCTAGGGGAAGAGTCGCTGAGTAAAATAACATGGAAAATCACAAAGCCCTTCTTCCCACTTTTGGCCACCCAATAATGTGGAGATCATGAATGATAACAGGAGCTGCAGGACCTCAGCCTGTCTCTCCCCCGGCTCCAGCTGCTCCAGTAAAGCCCAGCGGGCATAAGAAACACGGGGTCTGCCGCCACCTAGAGGCCTCCACTAGCCCTGAAGTCCCAGGTGGAAGCATCACAAAACAGGCACCTGCATTGGGGAATTCTCAAGGCAGTGGCTATTCAAGGACCCCTGGGAAAAGGAGCAGTATCTGAAGACTCCAAGGGCCATAAAAGTAACCTCGGAAACCTCCCTTGATTCCTATTTTCCTCAGCCTCTTTGAGTGTGCTGTGCACTCATTAAACACTTTAACAGCATTCAGAGACATTATTTTCTTCCACTTCTGAATGAGGACCTCAAGGACAGCCCAAAAATCTAGTATTTTTTCTGGGCCCCACACTCCAGAGCCCAGTGCATTGTCACATTCTGCTTTATTCCAAGTCCTCATCTGCCCACATCTCTAGGCCTCTCTCTTCTCTGAAGGACCTCTAGAACCTGAAAAGCCTCTTCCCAGAGTCTCAAAGCACAGTGAGTTACCAATGAAGAGCCAAGGGGAGCAGACACTTATGAGTATCTAGAATTCTTGGTATTATTCCTTTTGAGTACCCCTATTTATGAGAGAGAAAACGAAGGTTTTCTTTCCCGTAGCCTCACTTTATATCACATGGGGTGGTTGGGGGAGGGCATAGCTCATTTTAGTTCCAGGTGCCCATAGAGGTGGGAGTCACAACCCCTGTCCTGTCCTCTTGAAACAGCTGGGAAGATCCCCAGGCCTGGAAGAACCCAGGGAACCTGGAGGATCCTTCATCACATGCTGTCAGCTCCTGGTCATGTAGCTGGGGGAGTGGATGCCTCTGCCTCATGGCAAAGCTGCCTCTTCTATTTCTTCCCGTTTTGTCACTTCTCTGGTTTCCTCTTCTCTAACCTCACCTCCATGATCTCCACCTTAGAAGCCTGTGTGTGTGTGTGTGTGTGTGTGGTGTGTTTGTGTGTTCATGGCTGCACACCTATGTGAGAATAAGGAAGGGTAGAAAGCCCAGGTAGAAAGTAGACCACAGGGTTTTCCAGGACTTAAGAGCACTCATTTCCAAAGCAAACCTGATGGGTGGGGTGCATGCAAGGCCTTGGAAGCTGGATCCCTCCCTAATACTCTGTGCTCTTCCCAATTTCTGGGATATGGACCAGTCTTTGCCTTTTTTGGGGGCCTCAGTCTTCCTGTTGTAAAATGGATAGGTGGTCACAAAACTGCATAAACACATGCTCAGTGAAGACAGGGTGTCATGCTCAATACCAGATAGAATATTGGGATGGGGAGAGTTTGAGCAGACTTTTGTGTCCACGGTAGCTCAGGCCTCTGAACAGGGCAAATGCAGGTGAACATAAAGCACGGCACAGCCAGGTTTTCTTACCAGGGCTACGGGATGAAACAGTGCACCACAGGCTCTGTTCTGGAGGCTGGTCCCGCAAGATTTTCCCTCCTTCAACCAGCAACTGTTTGATGAATTTCATGTCCTGTGAAGCCCATATCCACCCCCATTACAGTGAGGGGCACAGGGCACTAGACCTGTAAAATAATGTCTTTTGCCTTTTTTTCTTTTCTTTTCTTTTTCTTTTTCTTTATCTTTTTCTTTTAACTGAGTGGCTGTTTCTTCTTTCTCTTTTTCTGTTTTGTTTGTTTTTTAACTAATTTTTAAGAGGTCTTTACAGGTCAGCTGTGGTGCCTCACATCTGTAATTTCAACACTTGAGAGGCTGAGGCGGGCGGATCATTTGAGGTCAGGAGTTAAAAACCAGCCTGGCCAACCTGGTGAAACCCCGTCTCTACTAAAATTACAAAAAATTAGCCGGGAATGGTGGCACAAGCCTGTAGCCCCAGCTACTCAGGAGGCTGAGACAGAAGAATTGCTGAAACTTGGGAGGCAGAGGTTGCAGTGAGCCGAGATTGCACGTCTGCACTCAAGACAGGGTGACAGAGTGAGTCTCTGTGGAAAAAAAAAAAAGAGAGAGAGAGAGGGAGAGAGAGAGTGCCCTTTATGGAAATGCGAGCCCATTTGTAATTTCATGAGTTGTAAATATTTATTCCAATTTGGGAATTTCTTTTCTTATTGTGGTGTTCTCTTTAAGTTTGTTTTGGATGTTATTAGTGTTTTGTTTTGCTTTGTTTCTATGTAACTTCTCCCTAAATTGATTCATAGATTTCCATTTTCACAATACAATATTTTGGCAGAAATCTTGTGGAAACTGTCTAATCAGTTTAAAAAATTTAAATACATATAAAAAATCGAAGAAATGTAAAAACTGTCCTGAAGAATAACAAAGTTTGTGAGCTTAAAATGACATATATTCAGACTTAGATTAAAGCTATAGTAATAAAAGCTATCTATGGTAGTAATGCAAAAATAGGCACAAAGAAAACTAGAAAAACTCGAGAGTCCAACTCAGACTCACACATTTGGACATTTTGTATATTACAAAACAGGCACAGAAGAGGAGTGAAGACAGTCTTCTCGGTAAATAGCCTTGAGTCAACCAGTTATTTATGTGAGAAAAAACACTCCTATCTTATATTATTAACAAATTCCAATGAAAAGTGGATTTTAAATTTTAAGGTCAAAGCTGAAAGCAATATTTCTAGTAGATAACATAGATAAATATGTCCATGACTGGCACAGGCCCAGATTTCTTGGGACACAAAATGCATTAATTCTCAAGACAAAAATATGACAAATTGGACTTTATTACAATTAAAACCTTCTCTTCATAAAAAAAACCTTCAGGAGAGCTGAAAGGCAAGAACAAAGTGGAAATCAACATTTGTCATATATTGATGTGGCAAAAGCCTTTTATCTAGTTTATTTAACTAAATCCCATCAATTAATAAACAAAGATGCAATACATTGAACAAAATTGACAAACATGTGACTAGGAGTTCCACATACAGAACCGAAGGGCCAACAAGTAGATGAACATATCCACATCCTTATGCATCAGAACAATGCATATGAAAACTACAATTGAATGCCACTATGCAATCATTCACATTTTTGAAAACTGACAAAATTAAGTACTAGTGATGATGTCAAGCAACTGGAACTTTCTTATACCATTCTGTGTGCAAACTGTTATAACGGCATTCAAAACCTCTTGAGTAGTAACTCCTTACATACACGATGTACATAAGCACACTCTAGGACCCAGCAACTCTGCTACTAGGTATATACACCCAATAGAAATGCCAGCATATTTTCCAATGCAGACAAATGCTCTAAGCAGCATTATTTGGTACTTTTCCAAACTGAAAAAAACTCAAATGTGCATCAGTAATAAAATAACTAAATAAAACAGCTACATATTCCTTTATAAGGGGACATTATACAGATATAAAATTAATTGGAGACATATTAAAATATACAAAAATCTAACAAATACAATTTAATTAGATTTAAAAGTCCTATCCACAGCAATCAGCCAATAGAAAAGAAAAAGGCATACAAATAGAAAAAAAAAATGAATTCTCTTTCTCCATTTGCATTATGAGTCACTACGTAGACAATGCTAAAGTCTTTCCAAAACTCCTTTTGGAGAAAACTTGAAAAGCCTCCTGAAATGGATAAGCAAGTAAAGTTTTAGGACACAAAACCAATGTACAAAAACCAGTAGTATTTCTATGCATCAACAACTTTGAATTCCTGAACATCTTCTGGTTTTATTGCATTTTCAATTTTTTCCCTCCATTAACTATACATTTTTTCTTTTTTCAGCTAAACTAATTTATTCTTCTGTATAATTTCACCTTGTTAATAAACCCCAGGCCAAAAAGTGGGAATAAAGTATTTGTCTGCATCCTGTTTCCTCATTTTGAAAACTAGTCTAGATGAAACCTATACTTGTTCTAGGGAGTTGGCATAGACAGCATTTATTTCCGTTCTCAGCAGTGATGCCAACCAGAAAGAGGGAGTTCCGCATTTTCACTTTGGTTAGACAGGACTCTGGATGGTTGTAGGGGAAAAGATCCAAACTCTAAGGGAGTCAAATCAGACATTGCAAAGATTTATACATTTACTCTGGGAGCAATTATTGTGTTAAATTTTGTGCAAAACACTGCGCAAAGAGCAATTAAAGTGAAAATTATTAAGGCATTACCTTTACCTTGGGAAACTCACACTAGTCAGATTCTCCGAACCCCAGAACATAACAACAACCTAGTAAAATCTTGTTCAGAGTGAAGAGAGGGTGGGAGCAGGAAGGTAAGATTAAAAATTAGGCTGGGTGAATGAGATAATTACCCCTAGTCAAGCAGTGGAAGTATGGATGGCTTTGGGATGGGTGAAGACAAAAGAATCTCAGCAGAGGGTGCAGATAAAAAAAGGCAGAAACACAGGAGGCTTATGCAGGAAGAGGAATGAGTTTGCTGGACTGGGGAGAGTGACAGTAAAAAGCAGAGGATAATAGGCATCTCTGGTCATCTAGGGACTATAGGGTGGATTAGTTGGGGGTTACAGAATCAGTGAGGTACTTTTTAACAGTAGGATGGGTAAATAAGAGCTATAATTTGGAATAATTATGTAGCAATGGTGGTTAGGAGCAATAGAAACTCAAAGTATTACATAAATATTTTTTTTCTTATTCTCCCACACAAGCGTTTTGCCTTTCCTCTTAAACTGAGAACGGAGTGGTTTGCTATGATGTTTTTAAATTCTCACAGACAAGCATTATTGTTTGCTGCCTTTTAGTAAAGGTTAGTTTTAACCAAATTAAAGAAGATTGAATGGATTTTCTTGCTCATAAGGGTTGAGTGCAATATCTCATACCTTCTACTAGTTTTCAGTATAACTGAAATAACAGAGTGTCAATACTCCATGGAGGGGTGTTCCGCTTGCTAAGGCTCCCTCCTCTGGGCTAGGCCTTCTACACCATGGCTGTCCTGCTGTGGCTGGAGCTGGAATTTGGATTGACCTCTGTGTGTCTTCCTAGCACACAATAGGTGTCCAATTAGCATGGGCAGAATCAAGCTCCTCCCTCTCACCATTTATTTCTCCATTTGTCCCTTGTTGGGAATGGAGAGTCCTGCCACTGAGTTCAGCCCAGGGTTGAAGTTCAAATCTCAGCTGATACTTGGTGGATGTTGACTTTTTTGAGAAGAACTTGGGAGAATAAAACATTATAAAGGCGCTGGCCAGGCACGGTGTCTCATGCCTGTATTCCTGGCATATTGATTGGCTGAGGAGATAGAATTGCTTGAGGCCAGGAATTTGATACCAGCCTTGTCAACATAGTGAGACCCCATTTATACAAAAAACTTGAAGCATTAAAAACATTTAGCCAGGTGTGATAGTTCCAAACTGTTGTCTCAGCTATGCTGGATATTGAGGCAGAGGATCACTTGAGCCAGGAGTTCTAGGCTGCGGTGAACTATGATCACGCTACTGCACTCCAAACAGGCAACCACGCAAGATGATTCAAAAATAAAATCTTTTATTATTCTTCACCCCTATAGTCTCTCCAGAACTTGTGCACTATGTAGCAGAAAGAATCAAACTCCCCAAGAGTTTGGTTCTTGCTCATGATTTGGTTTTCTGCTGCTTGGCTGCCCCGTCATGTCCCCATTTTGTATAAAATAAGAACCCCCCAGTGAAGTGGAGTTTCTCCCCAGCAGAGGGTCTCACCAAGGCCCCAAGACTGGCACTTTAGGTGGAGGCTTGCCTTTCAGCCTCTGAATAATAATTGATACTAAAATTGAGAAGTTTTCCAGACACCAGCTTCCTGAAAGGAGCATCCAGTCAGAAGACAAGATGAGGTCAGTAGCGAAGGTGACTCAGGCTGAGTGGGGAAGTCCACCAGCGTATCTGAAGACTGAGCTAGGGGAGGGTTTCCCTAATGTTCACTCCTTCTGCCCTCCATATATTCCTCTACTTTTCCCAAACTTCCCTCTGACATCCTCCAAACTTTCTATCTTCCCAGGGCTTTCTTGCCAGGGAGTCTAATGAAGTAAAAGCTTTAAAATTGCTTTGATTTTAAAAATAATTTTATTGATTCTTAAAATGTACCGACACAAAATTAGAATACCAATTCTTAAAATGCTTAAAAAGTAAATTAAGTGTAAGTTTACATTTAATTATCTTATTTGATTCCTAATTAAAATACAAAAAAAATTTTTTTTGAAACAAGGTCTTGCTCTGTCACCCAGACTGGAGTGCAGTGGTGAGATCTTGGGTTATTGCAACCTCCACCCCCTAGGTTCAAGCGATTCTCATGCGTCAGCCTCCCAAGTAGCTGGGACTACAAGCACACACCACCAATTGGCTATTTTTTGTGTTTTTAGTAGATATGAGGTTTTGCCATGGTGCCCATACTGGTCGCAAACTCCTGGTCTCAAGTGATTCACCCACCTCGGCCTCCCAAAATGCTGGGATTACAGGTTTGAGTCAACACACCTGACCTTAATTTTTTTTTTAAATTATAGGTAAATTTAAATTACTCAGAAATAGTCAGAATTAACCGTTGAATACCCTGAATCTTTTTCCCATGCATAAGCCTTTCTAATCTTTCTATTCAAATTTGGATTTGATTCGGTTCTAGTGTTTTAAAACCTGCTTTTTTCCTTCAAAGAAATGCAGACCATCTCACAGGCCAATGGACATCACAGATTTTCTGATGCTTAGAGGCTGACTGGTTGTTTATCTATGACCTCCCATAATGTACTTAAGTAACACCCTCTTGATGATGGGGTTAAGTTGTTGAAATTACCTTATCTTTTCTGAAGCACTACGTGGAAAATATTAGATCTTGAAAGAAACACATAAACCCATACCACACACTTCCTTTGAAATTCTCTGCTGCTTATTTAAAGAGATGTTTATTCCTGACTAAGGTCCTACATTACACTCTCTGTAGAACTTTTGGAAACTATAAAATTACAAGAGAATCAATAAAGCAATTTAATTTCTCACAGGATCCTGCTTCCTATAAGAAACACATCAATTCCTATAATTCGGCATATTTCCTCTCAATCATTTTTCTACACATTTTAAATTTTGAGCTCTAATGTATAAGTTTGGTTATACTTTTTAATGTGTGCCTTTCATTAATTTGTTTAATGTTATATCATCTCATAAGCACTTCTCCATGTGATAAAAAATTCTTTGTACATCCCATTTTTAATACATATATGTAGCTCCAAAGAAAAGGCATATCTTGTTTACTCTTCTAATCCCGTAGTATTCGAAAACTTTGTTTTTCCAATTCTTTGAGATAATAAACTGGTTAGGGTTAGTATTTTGGTCCCCATTTAAATTTTCTAAGAGTTGCCTTTCTACAAGTGGCTAAGTGACTGTTACAAGGAGAAGAGCCCTCCTGAAGGGGTGTGCCATGGGGTTGAGGCCTCCCTGCAAAGTGCCTTCCTTGTGGCAGATCCCCATGTGTCTTTCTAAAATCAGCACAGTCAGACTGAGAGTGATTGGAATTCTGCAGCTGTGAGCCCTCTCGAATCTTCCTTGAATTCAGATGCAACTAATCTCCTCCTTGGTGGACACCAGGAAGTAGGCTGTAGAGCATTCTGTGACCCTGAAGAATGACACGATGTTCTTGATGAAGAGGGTGGATATTCCTGAAGGAGAAATAATGTTTTCTCAACAGCAGAAGCAGATATCAAGTTTATTCAATGACTGGGTCATGGAAAATCCTGTTCTCTACAGGTTGATGCTACATTCCAGGCAAACCCACACCCTCGGTGTATGCCAGAGGCTTCAGAAACACAAAGGAGCTCATACAAGATGAGTGCCAGGCAGCTATGAAAAGAGCTGAGATTCTAAACCACAAATAAAGACAACTACGAATATAGGTGAGACGAAAAACTGTAAACCTTCTTAAGGGTGTACAACATGTAACAACGGCTCCCATTAGCTCATGTTTAGATACCAAGGAAATAATAGCAGGAATGTTTTATGTTCACATTCCAAACAAAACCTATTATCATTCTTTGTCAGTTCATTTAGTCCTGTTTTATTCATACTTGTTTTACTCTATCTTGTAAGCACATATGCTTCTCTGCTAGAATTAGAGAAATAACTTAGTCCACTGATAGTGTTTCAAAGTTATGTAAGTCATTCTATCAGAAGCCTGTTTATAGGAGTACTTGGTACAGTTATTTCTGTGGGTCTCTGAGATATTCTTATTTTGTTGAAGACAAAGCCCTGTGGCCTGGAACTGATTTGCAAGCACTTTTAGAAAAATAGCCGAGTACAACCAAAAGTATATACTAATGAAAAAGTAAGCCATGCTTTCAGGTATGTAGTTAGTTGATACACTAAAATATTCTTTTATATAATGCAAACAGCACTAACACTTTAAAAAATAGAATTATATTATGCACAGTGAGGGCACTGGAAATTTTTTTAAAAACTTTAATTTCTGGATTATTTACGTTAATAACAATTATGTAAAAAATTTAACCTAGGGGAAGCTAAGCATATGTCTTATTATTTAATATAACAATATGCAAAATAGGCACGTTTCCATATATGATACTAGGACATAAAGTGTGCTGATACAAATATGAAACATAAAATATAAGTAAGAAATAGAAAAAATGACCTGTGTATGTTGATTATTTATATGTGTTTATTACTATTTTTAGTAAATTAGATTATGTAAATATGTATTATATTTTAGGCAGCAGCAAATATTAACATATTTTTTAACGTGCAGCTTAGATAAGAATTGATGATTACAATTTATTAATATTAGCTACTTACGACAAACATTATGCAAAAAGAAACTCTAAAAATAATTTTGTATTAACTTTGAAAATTTTAAACTCTTTTCCACAGAAGTTTTTAAATTACAGACAATAAAATAGAAAGTTTATAAAAAAGAAAATGGTACTGAGAAATAGTTGGATTTTGATTCATTATTTTTTCTGAATATTAGTACTTGGAGCTTCACTGTTAATAATGCCAATAGGCTACACAAATTTTCTCTTCAGTAAAATGGCAAAACAGAAGGCATTCAATTTTTAAATATAAGATGCAATTTTATTACCTTTTTTCTATATAAAAGACACAAAATTTAGACCAATAAAAACAGAATTTCTTCCATGAAATTTCAAGAGCTGAGCTGAGCTGGGAAGAGCTAACCTGCTTAATATCAGAGTTTTAAATTAAAGCAAGAGGCCCACATCAAAGAAATAGTTATGCCTTTTTGTCTTCCTTTCTGTGATTGTGTTAAACAACAGGCAACATTAGATCAAGCACCGACTCCTCATTGTTCCATTTTTTCCTCATGGAAAAGCACCAGGAAAGGGTCAGATGGATCAGCACAAATATGGGGCACTGTCTCACTGCCGAGGTGGCACCCTCATAAAAAACAGGCCCGCAATTTTGTGGAAAAGGGGGCAGGAGAGCGTAGAGGAGAATGTATGAGCAAGATTAAAGAGAATTGAATATTAATAGGAATCTATAAAAATTATTATCAAAGTTCCATTTCTTCTCCAGAAACAGGGATCTGAACAAAAGTTTCTGAAGAAGGCCTCAACCAAAAGGCCCTCAGGAAGGTGCCCCTGAATCTAGATGCCTGGACTGGGAATGAAAATCTACATGTGAGCCTCAGTGGCCAAGATTTCCGGTATTGTTTATTTCAGCCCCTTAGAGACTGCAAAGCGCTGACATTTACATGCTTCTCCTACATGCACATGTCAGCAGCAGTGTGATAACCAATGCTTTCAAAGATATAATGTGGGTATGAGAGTTTCTGGCAAAAATTTAGATAATCTTATCTTTTCAACCTCAAATAACAATATATGCTGAGAAACTTCAAAGGCATGTACCTCCACAAATAATTTTTCAGGAAAGAATGAAGAAGCACAGCTGTAGAATAAAAATTAGGCTGGAAGTTGATGCTACCTGTGGGAATTGCTAATAATGGAAGCACAGGTTGTTAGAATTTAACGTGTCTGATTGGTGAATATAATGTCACAGCAGCATAGATGCAGGAGTACTTGGATCTGACTATGCTATCTAAAGCTAGAATCCTTACATTTTCAAAAGTTTAGAAAAATAGGTTAGTTAGTGGAGGTGGTATTTCTCCTCTTTGGTTGATTTGGAAATTAACACCAATCATCATATGAGTTTCTGGTTTATATGTACACTATGTGTTTTACTCAGGACAATTTAGGTAAATATATAGACTTAATCATTTTCAGGTGTCTGTAAAGGGTGCATTATTAACATTACAGATAACTTTTCACTGGAATAAAATACCTCGACCCAGAATCTTCAATGGCCCCATCAATTGAGGTCAGTCATTTATAATAAAATGAAGTCTACTATTCTTTTTAAAATATACAAAGTAAAAGTCATCAAGATCAAAGTTATTAAGAAACAAAATTATAAGAAAAACACAGCTGTACCATTACATCTTAAAAAATCCCAAAATTGTATATATACTGTAGAAATAATATAAGTAGTTATAATGTTTAAATATATTAGAGGAAAAGTTTAAAAGTAAGATCAAAATAAGTTATATTATCAAAATAATTAGGTAAAAATTTTAAATTTAAAGGATAGAATGCATAGAAAAATTACATAATTGAAAAAGAAATTATGAATTAGAAGATATGATGAAGTGAATATTTAGAAGTCCCAATAGGGATAAAACAAATAAACAATATGAAAAATTAAAATACATAAAAATCTAAAATAAGTCATGTTGTTTAAGTGCAAGTTCGAATAAATAAAATGGAGTGAATGTCAAATAGGGAATAAAAATATATAATTATTAAAATAATTAATTATAATAGCTTAAAGGCATTCTGATCAAAAGAAAAACAATAGTTAAAAGCATAATACCATAATAGAGAAAATCACGTAAAGCTATCTAAGATAAAATTCAAATTAATTATAAAGCAATGAAAAGAAACATATTTCTCAATATGTGAATAAGATCAAGAATCCAATAGGTTATGGTTTTCAAAGTTCTGAGGGAAAAACATGTAAATTTAAAATTACATATATTTGAAAAGTTATTTTCAGGTTTAAGGACAAAATGTAACTTAATACACAAATACAATGTAAGTATAATTACGTCAGTGAAATGCATTTAAAATTTGCTGAAAATTTAGTTTATAAAGAAAAACACTCTTCCTGAGAACAAACATTGAGATAAAATAAATGTGCAAACATCTAAATAGATGGAAACTATATTAACACTGTGTGAAATTATACACAATATGTGATATATCCATGTGAAGCATATTTATGGAAGCATAAAAGAAAATGTTATCCCAAGAGTTATATTAAATAAAAGAGTAAATTTGATAATAGATGAGTAACTTATTTTATATCAGTATAATGTATATTTAAGAGATTTTTGTCACTAAATTATTAAATATTGAGTGCAAATCCTATATACTGTTTGAACAATACTATTATTTTCTCAGCAAAGATCAGCACTGAAAGACTGACTCCTGCATAGCCACTGACCACAGCTTCTGGAACAACAAAAGCATTGAATCATTAATCCTGAATGTGGCCAATGAGCATGAGATGAGGAAATCTACCCAGTTCATGACCACAAAGCAACTCACCAGCAGCTGGATGGCCTGGGTAGCTTATTTCTCTGGAGAGACTTAGACAGTGACTCCTGATACAGAGATGCTGAGACTGCATTTTGTGCCTGGAGGAGAGAATTACCACGTGTGATTGAGAGCATCAGTGTTCCTCCAGAAGAGACATTTCTAAATGCTGCTAGTGTGAAAACCGAGCTTATGTTCACGTAGCCCCTGGGGGAAGAAAAACAGTAATATTTAACAGTACATTTTAAGAACCAATAAAATTATTTTTAAAATCAAAGCAATTTTAAAGCTTTTACTTCATTAGACTCCCTGGCAAGAAAGTCCTGGGAAGACAGAAAGTTTGTAGGATGTCAGAGGGAAGTTTGGGAAAAGTAGAGGAATGTACGGCCCACTCAGCCTGGGTCACCTTCGCTACTGACCTCATCTTGTCTCGACTGGGTGCTCCTTTCAGGAAGCTGGTGTCTGGAAAACTTCTCAATTTTAGTATCAATTATTATTCAGAGGTTGAAAGGCAAGCCTCCACCTAAAGTGCCAGTCCTGGGGCCTTGGTGAGACCCTCTGCTGGGGAGAAACTCCACTTCACCTGGGGGTTCTTATTTATACAAAATGGGGAAATGAGGGGGCAGCCAAGCAGCAGAAAACCAAATCATAAGCAAGAACCAAACTCTTGGGGAGTTTGATTCTTTCTGCTACATAGTGCACAAGTTCTGGAGAGACTATAGGGGTGAAGAATAATAAAAGATTTTATTTTTGAAACATCTTGCATAGTTGCCCTGGTTGGAGTGCAGCAGCACGATCATAGCTCCCTGTAGCCTAGAACTCCTGGCTCAAGTGATCCTCTGCCTCAATGTCCAGCATAGCTGAGACAACAGTTTGGAACTATCACACCAGGCTAAATGTTTTTAATGCTTCAAGTTTTTTGTATAAATGGGGTCTCACTATGTTGACAAGGCTGGTATCAAATTCCTGGCCTCAAGCAATTCTATCTCCTCAGCCAATCAATATGCCAGGAATACAGGCATGAGACACCGTGCCTGGCCAGCGCCTTTATAATGTTTTATTCTCCCAAGTTCTTCTCAAAAAAGTCAACATCCACCAAGTATCAGCTGAGATTTGAACTTCAACCCTGGGCTGAACTCAGTGGCAGGACTCTCCATTCCCAACAAGGGACAAATGGAGAAATAAATGGTGAGAGGGAGGAGCTTGATTCTGCCCATGCTAATTGGACACCTATTGTGTGCTAGGAAGACACACAGAGGTCAATCCAAATTCCAGCTCCAGCCACAGCAGGACAGCCATGGTGTAGAAGGCCTAGCCCAGAGGAGGGAGCCTTAGCAAGAGGAACACCCCTCCATGGAGTATTGACATTCTGTTACTTCAGTTATACTGAAAACTAGTAGAAGGTAAGAGATGTTGTACTCAACCATTATGATCAAGAAAATCCATTCAATCTTCTTTAATTTGGTTAAAATTAGCCTTTATTAAAAGGCAGCACAGAGTAATGCTTGCCTGTGAGAATTTAAAAACATCATAGCAAACCACTCCGTTCTCAGTTTAAGAGGGAAGGTGAAAGGCTTGTGTGGGAGAATAAGAAAAAAACATATTTATGTAATACTTTGAGTTTCTATTGCTCCTAACCACCATTGCTACATAATTATTCCAAATTATAGCTCTTATTTACCCATCCTACTGTTAAAAAGTACCTCACTGATTCTGTAACCCCCAACTAATCCACCCTATAGTCCCTAGATGACCAGAGATGCCTATTATCCTCTGCTTTTTACTGTCACTCTCCCCAGTCCAGCAAACTCATTCCTCTTCCTGCATAAGCCTCCTGTGTTTCTGCCTTTTTTTATCTGCACCCTCTGCTGAGATTCTTTTGTCTTCACCCATCCCAAAGCCATCCATACTTCCACTGCTTGACTAGGGGTAATTATCTCATTCACCCAGCCTAATTTTTAACCTTACCTTCCTGCTCCCACCCTCTCTTCACTCTGAACAAGATTTTACTAGGTTGTTGTTATGTTCTGGGGTTCGGAGAATCTGACTAGTGTGAGTTTCCCAAGGTAAAGGTAATGCCTTAATAATTTTCACTTTAATTGCTGTTTGCGCAGTGTTTTGCACAAAATTTAACACAATAATTGCTCCCGGAGTAAATGCATAAATCTTTGTAATATCCTATTTGGCTCCCTTAGAGTCTGAAACTTTTCCCCTTCAACCATCCAGAGTCCTGTCTAACCAAAGTGAAAATGGGGAACTCCCTCTTTCTGGCTGGCATCACTGCTGAGAACGGAAATAAATGCTGTCTATGCCAACTCCCTAGAACAAGTATAGGTTTCGTCTAGACTAGTTTTCAAAATGAGGAAACAGGATGCAGACAAATACTTTATTCCCACTTTTTGGCCTGGGGTTTATTAACAAGGTGAAATTATACAGAAGAATAAATTAGTTTAGCTGAAAAAAGAAAAAATGTATAGTTAATGGAGGGAAAAAATTGAAAATGCAATAAAACCAGAAGATGTTCAGGAATTCAAAGTTGTTGATGCATAGAAATGCTGCTTATTTTTGTACATTGGTTTTGTGTCCTAAAACTTTACTTGCTTATCCGTTTCAGGAGGCTTTTCAAGTTTTCCCCAAAAGTAGTTTTGGAGAGGCTTTAGCATTCTCTACGTAGTGACTCATATTGCAAATGGAGAAAGAGAATTCAATTTCTTTTTCTATTTGTATGCCTTTTTCTTTTTTATTGGCCGATTGCTCTGGATAGGACTTTTAAATCTAATTAAATTGTATTTGTTAGATTTTTGTATATTTTAATATGTCTCCAATTAATTTTATATCTGTATAATGTCCCCTTATAAAGGAATATGTAGCTGTTTTAGTTATTTATTTTATTATTGATGCACATTTGAGTTTTTTTCAGTTTGGAAAAGTACCAAATAATGCTACTTCGAGCACTTTACTACATTGGAAAATATGCTGGCAATTCTATTGGGTGTATATACCTAGTAGCAGAGTTGCTGGGTTCTAGAGTGTGCTTATGTACATCGTGTATGTAAGGAGTTACTACTCAAGTGGTTTTGAATGTGGTTATAACAGTTTGCACACAGAATGGTATAAGAAAGTTCCAGTTGCTTGACATCATCACTAATACTTAATTTTGTCAGTTTTCAAAAATGTTAATGATTGCATAGTGGTATTCAATTGTAGTTTTCATATGCATTGTTCTGATGCATAAGAATGTGGATATGTTCATCTACTTGTTGGCCCTTCGGTTCTGTATGTGGAACTCCTAGTCATATCTTTGCCAATTTTGTTCAATGTATGCATCTTTGTTTATTAAGTGATGGGATTTAGCTTAATAATCTAGATAAAAAGCTTTTGCCAGATCAATATATGACAAATGTTGATTTCCACTTTGTTCTTGCCTTTCAGCTCTCCTGAAGCTTTTTTTTTTATGAAGAGAAGGTTTTAATTCTAATAAAGTCCAATTTGTCATATTTTTGTCTTGATAATTTATGCATTTTGTGTCCCAAGAAATCTTGGCCTGTGCCAAAGTCATGGACATACTTATCTATGTTATCTACTAGAAATATTGTTTTCAATTTTCACCTTAAAATTTAAAATCCACTTGTCTCGAAATTTGTTAACAATATAAGATAGGTTTATTTCTTTCTCACATAAATAACCAGATGACCCAAGGCTAATTACCGAGATGCTGTCTTCTCTCCACTGCTCTTCTGTGCCTGTTTTGTAATATACAAAATGTCTAAATGTGTGAGTCTGAGTTGGACTCTCGAGTTTTTCTAGTTTTCTTTGTGCCTATTTTTGCATTACTACCATAGATAGCTTTTATTACTATAGCTTTAATCTAAGTCTGAATATATGGCATTGTAAGCTCACAAACTTTGTCATTCTTCAGGACAGTTTTTACAGTTCTTTGATTTTTTAATATGTATTTAAATTTTTAAACTGATTAGACAGTTTCCACAAGATTTCTGCCAAAATATTGTATTGTGAAAATGGAAATCAATAAATCAATTTGGGGAGAAACACTAATAACATCTAAACCAAACTTAAAGAGAACACCACAATAAGAAAAGAAATTGCAAAATTGGAATAAATATTTTCAACACATGAAATTACAAAGGGGCTCATGTTTCCATGAAGAGCACTCTCTCTCTCCCTCTCTCTCTCTCTTTTTTTTTTTTTTTTTACAGAGACTCACTCTGTCACCCAGTCTGGAGTGCAGTCGTGCAATCTCGGCTCACTGCAACCTCCGCCTCCCAAGTTTCAGCAATTCTTCTGTCTCAGCCTCCTGAGTAGCTGGGGCTACAGGCTTGGGCCACCATTCCCCGCTAATTTTTTTGTAAGTTTAGTAGAGACGGATTTTCACCAGGTTCGCCAGGCTGGTTTTGAACTCCTGACCTCAAATAATCCACCTGCCTCATCCTCCCAAAGTGTTGAAATTACAGGTGCGAGGCACCACAGCTGACCTGTAAAGACCTCTTAAAAATTAGTTAAAAAACAAACAAAACAGATAAAGAGAAAGAAGAAACATCCACTCAGTTAAAAAAAAAAAAAAGAAAAAGAAAAGAAAAGAAAAAAAGGCAAAAGACATTATTTTACAGGTCTAGTGCCCTGTGCCCCTCACTGTAATGGGGGTGGATATGGGCTTCACAGGACATGAAATTCATCAAACAGTTGCTGGTTGAAGGTGGGAAAATCTTGCGGGACCGACCTCAAGAGCAGATCCTGTGGTGCACTGTTTCATCCTGTAGCCCTGGAAAGAAAACCTGGCTGTGCTGTGCTTTATGTTTGCCTGCACTGGCCCTGTTCAGAGGCCTGAGCACGCATGGACACCTAAGTCTGCCCAAACTTTCCCCATCCCAATATTCTCTGTGGTATTGAGCATGACACCCTGTCTTCACTGAGCATGTGCTCATACAGTTTTGTAGCCAACTCTTTATTTTACAACAGGAAGACTGAGACCTCCCAAAAAGGCAAAGACTGGTCCAGATCCCACAAATTGGGCAAAGCACAGAGTATTAGGGAGGGATCCAGCTTCCTAGGCCTTGCATGCACCCCACCCATCAGGTTTGCTTTGGAAATGAGAGCCCATGAGTCCTGGAAAACCCTGTGCTCTACTTTCTACCTGGGCTTTCTACTCTTCAATGTTGTCACATAGGCGTGCAGGCATGCACACACAAACACATCACACACACACACACACACACACAGGCTTCTAAATTGGAGATCTAAAGTGGAGATTCTAAAGTGAGGTTAGGGAAGAGGAAACCAAAGAAGTGACAAAAGGGGAAGAAACAGTAGATGCAGCTTTGCCATGAGGCAGAGGCATCCACTCCCCCAGCTACATGACCAGGAGCTGACAGCATGCGATGAAGGATCCTCCAGGTTCCCTGGGTTCTTCCAAGCCTGGGGACTTTCCCAGCTGTTTCAAGAGGACAGGACTGGGGTTGTGACTCCCACTTCTGTGGGCACCTGGAACTAAAATGAGCTATGCCCTCCACCCACCACCCCGTGTGATATAAAGACAGGCTACGGGAAAGAAAGCCTTTGTTTTCTCCCTCATAAATAGGGGTACTGAGAAGGAATAATACCAAGGATTCTAGATACTCATAGGTGTCTGCCGCCCTTGGCTTTTCATTGGTAAATCACTGTGCTTTGAGACTCTGGGAAGAGGCTTTTCAGTTTCTAGAGGTCCTTCAGAGAAGAGAGAGGCCTAGAGACTTGGGCGGATGAGGACTTGGAATAAAGCACAATGTGACAATGCACTGGGCTCTGGAGTGTGGGGCCCAGAAAAAATACTAGTTTTTTGGGCTGTCCTTGAGGTCCTCATTCGGAAGTGGAAGAAAATAATGTCGCCGAATGCTGTTAAAATGTTTAATGAGTGCACAGCACACTCAAAGAGGCTGAGGAAAATAGGAATCAAGGGAGGCTTCCGAGGTCACTTTTATGGCCCTTGGAGCCTTCAGATACTGCTCCTTTTCCCAGGGGTCCCTGAAGAGCCACTGCCTTGAGAATTCCCCAGTGCAGGTACCTGTTTTGTGATGCTTCTGCCTGGGACTACAGTGCTAGCGGAGGTCTCTAGGTGGCTGCAGACCCCGTGTTTCTTGTGCCCGCTGGACTTGACTGGAGTAGCTGGAGCCGTGGGAGAGACAGGCTGAGGGCCTGCAGCTCCTGTTATCATTCTTGATCTCCACATTATTGGGTGACCGAAAGCAGGAAGGACTTTGTGATTTTCCATGTTATTTTACTCAGCGACTCTTCCCCTAGCACTCACCCTGTGGCAGCTACCTTGGTAGGTTCACCATGTGGTACCAAAAACGATTATGTTATCCCTGCATCCCCGCGGGGAGCCTACAGTCTGAGGACGGCAGGACAAAAACACTAAAGCAAGTACATGCGAAAGAAAAGAGCATTTTATAATGGAAATAAAGTAGAATGTTGGGAGGGAGGGCTGGGGAGAGGTTGCCTGGAGGAGACATGAATGCCTCCCTGAGGTGACATTATGTTGTGACGAGAATGACAACTGCGCAGGTGTGGAAAGTGTGTCAGGGAAAAGCCACTCTTTGTGAAAAGACTCAGAGGCACAAGTCAGTTTAGCAGAGGAGGTTATAAAGGGACAAGTGTGGCTGTAGGCAGCCTGAGAAAGAAAGGAAAAGAGGGGAGGGTGTATCCTGGGGCCTGAAAGAGGAGATTAGTCATTTGCCGCTCTCTGACAACATTGCCCTGAATTTTAGCACATTTTGACAACAAATACTATCTCACAATTTTTGTGAATCAGAATCTCGATATAGCTTAGTTGGGTGCCTCTGCCTCAAGGTCCCCTATGAGGCTGGGGCTGTGATTTCAACTGAAGCTGGATTTGGGGAGAGATCAGCCTCCAATCTGCCTCATGGAAATTGGCAGGATTCAGTGTGAACTGAGAACACCAGTTTCTTCCTGTTGATTGGCCTGGGCAGTTCCTCAGTTCTCTATCATGTGGGTCTGTGCCTAGAGCATCTTAGGACACTGGAGATCGCTTCCTCATCTTGAAGAATACAATAGAGAGATGGAAAATGAAAGAGATAGACAGACATATGCACAGAAAAAGAGAAAGGGAGACAGAGAGATTGAGAGACGAAACACAGGACAGAGCAAGTGGGAGGAAAATAATAGCTGTTTTGGAAATATAACTTTGGAAGTTGCAGTAGACTATGTGATTCCCCACCATATTCACATTCCAGAACATTAATCCCCAGTTTAATGGCCTTAGCAGGTCAGAGGTAATTAAGTCCTAAGCATGAGGCCCTCGTGGTAGAGATTACTGGCTTTGTAAAAGAAACCGCAGAAGGCTGTCTGTCCTTCTCTCTGCTAAATGAGAATACAACCTGAAGTCTGGAGTTCGAAACTCAGAAGAGAGTCCTTACCAGACCACAACCATGCTGGAAGCCAATCTCAAATTTCTAGCCTCCAGAACTAAAGTCTTTTGTTTATAAGTTGCCTAGTCTATGTTTTTTGGTATAGAAGCCTGAACTAAGTCAGAAGTGATAACCTATCACATTTGTTGTATTCTCTTTGACAGAAACTAGAACCAGGTCCCCAAAGAGTTCAACCAACGACTAGCAGAAATTCTTCAGTTTGCAGAATGACAGATAAGAAAAGATAGAACTTGTTGAAAGAATGAAATTTATTCCACTTATGAGACTTCTAAAAAGTGGCTAAAATTGGTTGGAACCAATATGGTCAACTGGAGTCTGTGTGAAATAAGCTCACTGATGTAAGAGCCCAAATTTCCATCACATGTTTTGTACTAACTGTCCCCAAATTTGCACATGACCTGTGTGTAGCAGGAAAAGATGGCTGTTCATGCCCAGTGACTTTCCATACATTTTTCCTTTCAGCAATTCCCTGCTAAACAAGAAGCCACCTCTTAAACCTTTCTGAGAATATTACTACCTTTAAGTAAGCACAGGGAAAGAGGCTTCAGCTGGAATCCAATGTCTTTGTTGGAAACCCGGTGTTATAGTACCGGCTTCTGAGGCACTGAGCGGTGAGCTGCGTTTTTAAATAACAGAGTCACTCACAACTTAGTGTTGTTGTGAGACTTTGTTGGGGGTGCCCACCACATAGGCTGAGATGAAGCATATACATGTGATTCCAAATATAATGCACAGCACTGGAATATTTAATGCCAGAATACAGTATCTGATTTTCTTTTGATTTCAACCTCTTCTGCTGTAGAATGGAAAAATAAGGCCATATATATAAAATATATATCTTTTATGTATACAGATATATGAAATATATATCTTTTATACATAAAGGTGTATATGTATAAGTTTATATATTATATATAATATATAAATATAAATTATATATACATAGTATATATATTTTTTTGAGACACAGTCTCGCTATGTCACCCAGGCTGGAGTGCAGAGGCATGATCAAGGCTCAATGTAATCTCTGCTTCCTTGGCTCAGGTGATTCTTACACCTCAGCCTCCTGAGTGGCTGGGATTACAGGCAAGCATCAACACATCTGGCTAATTTTTGCATTTTTAGTGGAGAAGGGTTTTTGCCATGCTGGCCATGGCTGGTTTCAAACCCCTGGCCTTAAGTGTTCCACCCATCTTGGTCTACCAATCTGCTAAGATTACAGGCAAGAGCAACTACATCCAACTGATTTTGATTCATTCTATCTCATATATCGCCAATGACTCTTTCTGGAAGTTGATGCTAGCCTAATCCCATTATGCATACTTCAGGGCTGGGGAGAACTGAAGCACACAGTCATTTTCATATGGTCACAGAAATGAAAAGGAAAAGAAGATTTTAATCCAACTCTGTTCTCTCAAACCTGGGGCCCTGGCTGTATTTAGATCTTTTTGGGGAGTAAGAGGCATAATTGTGTTTGCATAACTGTTTACAGGAAAAGAGTTGACATGGGAGATGAGGGTGAGCAATCAGCAGCCCAGTAGGGACTTTGCATAGATTTATGGAGGAAAAGGGCTCAGGGGATAAAACCTTGAAGAAGTTAACAGACTTCCCTTGTG
This sequence comes from Homo sapiens, assembly GCF_000001405.40. Taxonomy (NCBI): domain Eukaryota; kingdom Metazoa; phylum Chordata; class Mammalia; order Primates; family Hominidae; genus Homo; species Homo sapiens. The sequence continues at coordinate 6,304,593 of NC_000021.9, forward strand.
ACAGAACCTAACAGAATTTAGAACTTTGGGAAACAGAAACCCACATTCTAGAGAGAGCCCTCTATCTAGCTAATTTCATGGGAGATGCTTGAGAGAGTACTGTGTTCTCATTGTGTGCTATATTCCTAAGCTGTTGCCTGAGAAAGGTTCAAAGTGAGAGACTTTTCTGACCATATACATATTGGCTCAGCCCACATCCTTGATACCACTGGCCATTCAACAAGAGGCAAACAGAGGTAACACAGTGAAGCCCAGGTCAGGTCCGTCCATGCCAGGCCACCCGTGTCATCTAATCTGGGCAACCCGACCCTGTCTACCATTACCATGTGTTGCAGGGGGAGCAGGAAAGGAGGGGGCTCTTTCTCACAGGGGCAGGCTGTAAGGCATTGGAACCCTGGCGGCTATGTCATGTTCATACCCAGGTCATGGCTGGTGGAATAAAAAGTTGAGCATTGTGGACCAAGTGTGTCTACTCAGATGTGAATCCCAAGGCCTTAAGCTGTCCTCGGGTTTCCTCATTGGCTGGGGGTCTATGCAGATACTCCTATGTTCCTGATCTAGGAAACAGAATTTCTAATGGAGATGTCACCTGGTGGTAAAAACAAAGGAGATAATTAATTTTTTTTCTTTTTTCTTTTTTTTTTTTTCCTGCTTCACTGCTGGGAACACTCTCTGTAGAGTTTCATTAAAATCATTGAGCAGATATTTGATGGGTTCAAGTCCCCCATCTCCTTGGACAACTGGCAGGTTCACCACACCCCCAAGCATGGCATACAGTGAGTTACGGTGAGAGCAGGCACATGGGGGTCTCTACAGACAGGGGTCTGACAAAACCAGGATGGGCCCAGGATCCAGACCCAAATATGGAATTTCTCTGGGCTCTCTCTTAGGGGATTTCCATGAGTGACCCAAAGATGTGCCTCCCAAAAATCTAGCCTTAACTAGTCCCAAAGGCAGCTTGGTTAAGTGTAAAGTCCCTTTTTACATTCTTGTAGAAATATCAGAGAAGGCCTTTGTGTTGTTTTTACTTTACACTAGGCTGTATTTATTCATGTTTCTACAGTTTGTATGGTTTTAATTTTTCCCCCCTGGTATCACCTGTAGCAGGCAGGTTCACGGCACTGCCAGACCTTCCCCAAGACTTCAAAGCCACCACTATCACTAATACTCTAGAAAAATAAGGAAGAGTTTACATGAAAAGGGGGTTATATTGTTCCCTGCATTTGTCTGCAACGTGTCATCTCAGAGAACACATCCCTCTAGCCCATCAGGGCAGAAGTGGTGCCCTCACATCTCTTTGTAATGTTCTATAATGGGGGTCACTTCCCAGAGTGGTTTAGCCTTTCAGTGACTATTATTTCTGATCAAAATGGAATAAAACTAGAAATGAATAACAGAAGAAAACAAAAATAGCAACATATATATGGAAATTAAACAACTCACTTTTGAGCATGCTCATGTTTAAGGGTTGTAAGACTTGATATTATGAAGAATGCTCATGATGCCTAAAGCGAGTTACAGATTCAATGCAATCCCTTTTAAATTAGCAATGTTTTTGAAATAGAAAAAGGAACCAACAAATTATATGGAATGTCAAGCGACCATAAAGAGCCCAAAAATGTTTTAAAAAAAAACAATGTTAGCGGCCTCAATTTTCTGATTTCAAAGCACATTACAAAGCAACAGCAATGAAAACAGTTTGTTTCTAGCATAAAGACAGACAATTTTTCCAATAAAACAGAAGGTAGCACACATGTAAACCTCATACATATGAGCAAATAGCTATTTGCATACCAATATTCATTGCAGCATTATTCACAAAGGCCAATAGGTGAAAGCAACACAAACTTTCCTCATAGAATGAATAAATAAATATAATTTGTAATACAAAAGTAATGGAATATTACTCAGCTTTTAAAGGCAGAAAATCTTGTACCATCCACAATAAAGAGAAATCTTGAGAACATGATGCTAAGTAAAATTAGTCACAATAAAACAGATACTCTATGATTCTACTTATATGTAATATCTAAAGTATTGAAACTTAGAAACAGAAAATAGAATGATTTTTATCAGGAGCCAGGTTGTAAGGAAAATGGGTAGTTGTCATTTCATGTGTCCTGAGTTTCAGTTTTGCAAAAGAAAAAAGTTTTACAAATATGTTGCAAAGCAATGTAAATACATTAACATGACTGAACTGTATAAGAAAAAATATTAAAGATTCTAAATTTTATGTTATGTATTTTTACCACAATCGAAATTAAAAATGACACCCAAGGGCCAAGAGAGATGGCTCATGCCTGTAATCTCAGCACTCTGGGAGGCTGAGGCATGCAGATTACTTGAGGCCATGAGTTCAAGACCAGCCTGGCCAACATGGTGAAACCCCAGCTCTATGAAAAACACAAAAATTAACCAGGCGTGGTAGTGCACACTTTTAATGCCAGCTACTCAAGAGGCAGCAGCTGGAGAATTGCTTTAACCTGGGAGGTGGAGGTTGCAGTGAGCCAAGATTGTGCCACTGCACTTTGGCGACAGGGTGAGAGTCTGTCAAAAAATAAATAAGTAAAGACACCTGAAGAGAGAGAGTTACAAAGTTTTTGAAAAATTATCTTCAAATCGCATAAGTCTTTCTTTCACACTAGGATAATATAAACAATAGATGTTGAAATTAAGACAATTTCCATGATTACTCACTTAGACAGAATCAATTATTGTCCATCAAACAAGAAGAAAATACACAAGTCATAAACAAAATAGGGGCAATATTTATACAAGCAAACAAACAATTAAATCATTATATTAACAAAAGACCATAGGGATGCTTCATATTTTTTGCCTCACACTGTCTTAAGCTGTACAGATTTGAATATTGTCATAGAAAATTATATTATATAAATTCAAACTAAAAACAATAAACTGATGTAAGGTGCCCTACCCTAAAACATGAAACACAGAAATGCAAAATTGCAAAACAAACTTAAAAGAAACCTTCCCCGAATTCTTACTTGAATAATGTAATTCAAAATCATAATAAATAGGTAGAAAGTAAAAACACAATTAACTGCTGTGAGACAGCCTACTCTAAAAAATACAGAAACATAAATTCTAAAACATAATTAAGAGAAACTTTGATCTATAAAATCCTGAATAAACATAGTGTCCAACTGAAAAAGAATCCTAGGTAACTACAATTTTCAACTCTTCCTTTGAATCCATAAAAAGTATAAATTTTGAATTACTTGGATACAATTAGGGCAACAACATTTCAAAGAAACCATATTATAATTATTAAAAAGAGATGTGATGAGAAAGTTTTAAGGAATAAAAATTTAAGTAATACTAGAGAAAGTTTTAAATTATGCTACTGATGCATTGCTTCTTTCCTTACACAAAAGGGTAAGGCTGTAATCTAGCCTTTAATAGAAAGGTCTTACATTTTTACATATGGTAACAATATAAATATTGTAAATACAGTATAAAACATTGACAGATAAAATAAAAACTGGAAATAAATTGTACTATTAGTCAAATAAAAGTTGGGAAAACTGGAAGAAAATGCTAATAGTAATATTGTGCCTAGAGTCAATTAAACATACAAGCCAAATATTTTAATAATTAATTATATAATTGATACATAACATATACATTTGAGCATGCTGTTTTACAACTTCTCAAACTGAAATTACAGAAAAATGTGACACATGATAATTCAGAAAGTGAAAACACAGTCATAGTAATCTTCATATTAAAGAAAACAGAATCATAAAATAATAAGTGAGAAATAAGGTAATAATTGTGAATTCAATATATGTTGAACAATATTCTAATTTCTCTTACGGAAAAAGTTTTTGTAAGAAATCTGTAAAATGAGTACTTACAATAAACCATCCTACAGTAGAGGCTGTTGGCATACAGTGTTTAAATTTCTATGATTAGGTCCTACTAAGGAAAAGAAAATTTTAAAATAAAATAATTAGATTTTCCTATTTAATAAGATAATTTTTGCCTATAAAGTTTTTCAGTCTAATTTTTTTTGTAGAATTAGGTTTTAGCCTTCATAAAACTTGACATTATGAAGCAGAAAACAGGTGTCATCTGTCTCTGTTGTTCCTGGAATTTCTAACCCAAATGCCAATTCCTCCACAACTCCCCTCACACACTTCTGAATTGAAGCACAACAGATTTATTAAAAATGGCATAACAGCGGTCTCCAGAAATGTGCAGAGATTTTCCCAGATCCCTAAAAGCAATGACAAACTATTCAGATCATTTAGGTTCTCACAAGATTCTGGGAGGACTTCGGCTTTCAGTGTGAATTCACTGGAAGATTCTAAGAGAGAGGAAGAGAGAGAGAATGTGTGTGTGTGTGTGTGTGTGTGTGTGTGTGTGTGTGTGTGTGTTGAAATCAGAACCCCACCTTATGTGTTTATTGTGGAATTTGGAAATGAAAGCCTAAAGCCCAAAATTAAAATCACACATAATAGCACGTTGCAAACTGTTTTCTGTGCTAGATGGGTCGTTCTAGGGTGTAGGACCCTGGTAACACCGTTTTCCCCTCCTTCCGGAAAGAGCTACTCACACTGCTCAAAGCCTGCATCCACATGTACCATGTCGAAGACCAGCTCAAGAGCCTGGACCCATATGCCACCTTCAGCAGGGTTGACTGCAGCTCCTTGTTCTTCCTGAGCATCTTCTCCAATGGTGACCTGAGAGTTGCGGGAGGCATTGGGGCCAGGATTGAACAGAGGAAAAAGGAGCATGGAGGCCAGGTGCTGAGGACCAGGCCATCTTACCTGGAGAGTTCTGGCCCTGAGACATCCAGACCAACATGACGTTTAGGTGCAGACAGCTGGCCCTGGGTGGCCCTGTGCTGATCACCGGCCTCGGCCCCTCAAACAGTGGGAAATGGAAGAATGGCTTGGAAATGGGCCCTGTCGACTGTGTGTCATCTGAGCACATTCTCCCAGGGGCCCAAGAAGGGCCATCGTGTCTCCAGAACCAGAACTGGAAGGTAAACTGTCAGGGGGGACAAGGAAGAGGGTCCTCAGTTGGGTGGAGGGTCTCACAGCAAGACGCCTGGCTTAATCAAACTTGGCCATTCCTGAAGCACGTTCAGTGACTAAAAGTGCCTAACATGAGCAGCTGGAACCCACTCCCTGAGAGCTGCAAGATCCATGGGGACCTCATGTACCTGTTTGTAATTACAGACAAGGACCAGCAGGCAGCATTACCGCATCCACATGGGGCTTTTGCTGGACACAGTAAGTCTCTGCCAGCCCCTCCCAGGCTCCTGGGATGCCACTTGTTCTGGATCTGTGGACAGATAACCAGGATACTTGCTCAGTGTCCATCCACTCCTTGTGGCCTGAAGCCTATCGCTCAACCCTAGCCCCACCAGACCTGCTTCCTAAGGCATTCCTCTTGCCAGAAGGAAAGGCAATGCCTTTGTCCCACAGCCCCTGCCTTGTGTCATGTCATGTGGGGGTATGGAATGAATCGGCAGCCGAAACTCCTGTCCTTCTGCCTGAGAATTCTATCTTCTCTGTCTGAGTTACCCTCTAGGGAGCTGTCAGTGGGAGAGAGAGCAGCTGTGGAAGAGAGTCCCACCTGCTTCTGTTTGACTTCAGGGCAGCCTCTCAGGGCAAGAACCCAGAGCAGGTGGAGGCCTCACAGAAGCCTGTGGCAGGGCTCTGGGCTTGATGGGCTGAGCATCTCCCTATCTGCTGTCTGCAATGGGGCCCAGAACCATCCATTCAAGAGGGTCACCACCATATTGCAGGTGTGCAGCTGGACTGTTCCCAAGGCAGAGGCTGCCATGGACTGCAAGCACACAGAGGATGTACACCTTGAGCGTGGACTATGAGGAGAACATTTTTGAAGAGGTGCATGCAGCCTGGCCCTGCCTTCACTGGGAACCCCCTTCCTTCTGGGTACTAGACAGAATTCTGTACACTTTCCTGGAGGCTCCATTCTGGTCTGTTCATTTGGAAGTTTCAGGCTGTCTGTGAGGAAGTAACAAAAGAGATGTCTCAAAGCAGGTTGTGGGGCACAGGCTGAGCCCTTGTCTCCCTCCCTAGTCCCTCTGCAGACACGGGGCTGGAAGAAGGACCTGTGGATAATGAGGGAACTGCTCTTCGAGAACCGGCCTGAGCAGCTGCTTCAAGAAAGAGCCACATTAAAGGTGCCTATAGCCCCTGATGAGGGAATGGCAGCCTCAGGCCCGCCTGCCATCTGTGAGCAGGTTTTCTTGCTAACAGGATGAAAGCAAAGAAAGCTGGAATGAGCCCAGCCCTCTCAGGCAGCTTGAAGGCTGTTGGGGCTCTTTCCAGGCCTTCTAGCCTTATGCTTTTTGGCAGGCCACTTAGGCACCTTTTTCCAGCCTCTGAGACTTCCATGCTCTGGAAGGAGAGGGTCCCACTTTTCACTAGGCTATGGGGCAGGCCCATCCAGCTCCCGGCTGCCACTAACAACCATGGGGCTCTCACCTGGGCACCCACTGCCCAAACATGGCCCTTCTAAGGCAGAAGATCATGTGTCTTGCAGTTTCAGCTTGCTAGGGCTTAAAAGTTATCAGTGCTGTTATTAAGATAGGGAAGTGAGAAAGGAAAACTTGCTGTAAAAGTTTCCCATAATCTTACCACGGAGATCATCAGCACAGATGACAGCACAGGTGGGGCTGCTGGGGAGGCTGAGGGAGAGTGTCCAGCCTGTTCTGCCAGCTGGTCCTTGCCAGGGGTGTCTCGTGACCCAGTCCCTTAGAGAAGCATGCAGATATCTTAGCAAGTATCTGGAAGGTGCAGATCAGGGCAACCCAGCACCACTGATGGTGGAGTGGGCCTACCTCCCATCAAGCTGTGTCTCCACAGCTGACCCTTGAAGCCAGGAGGTGATTTACAACATGTGCAAGGCAGTGAGCTCCATCAGCTGTGTGGCCTTCAACATTCACTTCAACTCGGACATCTCACCAGAAAGCAGTGGGGACTGGCCAATGCAGAAGCCTGCAAAGTGGAACAGAGCGTCATGGGGTGGGGGATGTGGGGCCTGCCTGCTCATCTGAGCACTGCTCCCTGAGGGTGTGATCTGCAGGCTTCCTGAAGGAGGGCTGTGAGCTCATCTGCGAGGCCCTGAGCCTGTGGAACATGGCTGAGGCCAAGCCCATGGGGATTTGTGTCTACTTGCACCTCCTTGCTCATCTCAGTACACTACAGGTGACTGTGCCGAGGTGGGCCTTGAGCATCCCCTGGGCTGTGTTAGCAAAGGGCTCTGGGCCTGGCCTGGCATTGAGGGATGGCAAATAAGGGGCCTGGGGTTGCATTGTCACCCCCTATGGTAGCATAAAATGAGAGAGTCCGACCTGCAGGACTGGAACCCTATCAAGGGGGTTAGGAGGCTGCTCACTTTCCCTCAGGGACCCATGTGGAGGAGCTGAGGGAGGTTAAGGAGACCCTAGGGACTCACTTGTTCTGTCTGGGCTTCCCTCTGCTCCATCGTTTGATGACCATTTTCTGGGAAGAGCTCAGGAACCTCCTGTGCTCTAGTGAGACGGGGCCTCCCCTCACAGGGTATTCTGAGACTGTGAGTGAGAAGCTAACACAGTGCCTTGCAATACTCACGGGAGCTGTCATCCTCTGTGACCATCACGTGGCCTTGTAGTGTTCAGACTGCCTGGCCTGCCTGGGGTTTGGTGAGGCTGTTTTGTGGTCAGCTGCTTTAGAAGCTCACTTTCTCTGCAATCAAACAGTGACTGTTTTCATGTCTGTTTATGGGTTTAAAAAATCCTAATATTTCCTTTATAGTAGTTTCAGCTTGCATGTGTTTATTTGTATAAATTTTAGTGGAATAAAGAGAGCTTAAGACAACAGCATTTTAAGGTCTTAATGAGGCATAGACTTTCATGTCACAACAGCTAATGTTGACCTCTGTTTGCTACCTTTGTGTAAAGTATACACATAAAGTACAGCCAGAGGTGACTAGAGCTGAGCTGCTTGGGCTTGCTTGCTGGCCTGCAGTCAGGTGGACTCTGGCTGCAAGGCGGTGCCCACCCTGGATCTACATCCCCCACTCTCTCTCCTTAGTCTCTGAGTAACCAACAAGGCCGTGCTAATGAGCGGGCGAGTGATGGGCATCGCGTACCCCAATACTATCTGGGAAGATTTGAATGCCAACTGGGCTGGAGCTGTTGGGATTAGGGGCTGTGGCTGCCTTGGCTTGTCATGGTGCCACCCACAGATGTGCCTGCCCTGTGCTGCTTCTCCAGCAACCGGCTGCCCATGGCCCTGAGCCTGTCACACCATGCTTGCTACCTCATGCTACTTGTGTTTGAAAAACCCATCCAGAGATGGCATTGCTGGATGTGAGTGCTGAAAAGGGGGCAGCACCTTTGTCCTGGGGGATTAGGAGCTGACCAGATTCCTCTTGACTCCCTCCCAGAACAAGAGGGGCAGGTGCTGCAATTAATGATGCCCCCCAGAAGATGTGTTTGCACTGGCTGAGGGAATACACGATGCAGAGACCTAAATGAAGACACGTGAATGGGGTGTGTGGGCATCAGTTAGCAACTGGGAAACAGGTGCCTCTCAGGCCTCTCGTGCTCCAGCAAGAGTGGAATATGCCTGTGCCCATGAGTGTAGACATCTGGAGTGTATACATTTGGCTGCTGCTTTTGCTGCCACTATCCCCAGGTCCAACCTGGCTTGAAGTCCAGGTTTTAAGTAAAAAAATAGGAGGCTTTTTGCCATACAGCTACTTGAGAGGCTGAGGTGAAAGCATCACTGGAGGCTAAGAGTTTGAGGCTGCAGTGACCCATGATTCAGCCACTGCACTGTCAGAGTGAGACCTGCGTGCACCCTTCTACAGATAATAGCTCTGGGGCATTTGGGGATCCCTACAGTCCGGGACATCTCCCTGTCCCCTGCTGCCTGTGCTTCTTCCCTTGCCTGCTGTCAGAGCCTAACATGGAGGAGGAGGTTGCTGCCCTGTGAGCCTGAGGGAGCTGTGTCTGACTGGGACTTCTGTCTGGGGTTTTGTGAAGAGCTACTTATGAGTATGGTCTGTACAGATACCTTGTTTCAAAGAAAGTGAGCATGAGCTAGCAAGTGTAGCCACCCCACAGCTGATAAACAACTTTGTCTTGTTTTTAAATCATCAATCTTCATTTCACATTGGAATAAAGTAATTGAAGCCTGCTACCCCAGCCTCGCCCGTGTGTTCTGTAACCCAGACTCATTTCGTTGTGTGGGCTGTTGTCAGAAATGTTATAAAAAAAATTACGCATAAATAATATCAAATGTAAAATTATGCTTATAATGTCACTTGAGTGGGTGGTAAGAGGGTAGAGTCACAGGAAATCTGTTGGGGTTTACACCCCTGATACTTACCAAGCTCATGAGAGTGTGGCAGAGGTGATCATCACCTGACATTTGTGGCAGAAGAGAAAAGTCCAGCCTGAAGGCCAGGTAAGGGAGAGGTGCCAGGTTGTGGGGCCAGGCCCTGCGCATGCTGGGCCTGTTATGTCACTGAACATCTAACTGCCCGGGAACCGGCTCTTTTCACATCATCTGAGGTAAGAGGATGGAGAAGCACTCTCCAGAAGTCACACTGCGCTGGGAGAATAGAGGAGAGCCTACAACTCACCATCCTAAGGTAGGTTTTACATTGAGCTGAACTGTCTTCGAGAGCTAATGAGATGGGAGGAAGACAGTCCCCCAGGTGCACCTGACAGCCAGAGCCTATGAAGTTAGGGGGGTTGTGTGGGGGTGGCCTGTTCCTATGAGAAGAGGAGCTTAAAGCTACTAAAGCTGGTGGCTGCTGCTCTGCCATCCCTCTACAGAGCAGGCAGGTCCTCAGCTGCATGTATAGCTGAATGTCTTTTGGAGTGTTAGAGAGTCCTCTATGTCTTAGAAATTTTGAAAAGAAAAACAAATCTCAATTTTAATGTTGATTAGTTTCTCTGAGCCAGTTGGGAAAAAGATGTCCTTCACCTCAAAGATTTAAGTGACACCGAAGGGTAGCCACCAGTGTCTCGGCCACTGAAGCCTCATGCATGCTCTCACTACCAGTTTGATTTGCAGCCCCATAGTTGTGTTGTACTACATATTCTTTCCTCTGGCCTTGTCCAGTGAACACGGTTCACATGGCTAACACCACTTCTTGAGATGCGAGCACCATGCAAAGCTGAGAACGGATTGGGTTTTGTGACGATTGTGCCTCCTCCTCACCTGAGAGGCCCATTTTTCCTGGTTGATTCATTAAGTGTATTAGTGCTGTCAGTCGCCTCTGGACAATTGAAATGACAAGTGGCTGTTGATTCATAAAGAAAATGAAGGCTTTAGATGTGAAACCCTCGTTTTCTCTTGTCCTTCTCTTAGGTGAAAGATTTTATTTTTTTCAAAAGGCTACATACTGGTATCCCAGCAGGTGTAGTGTGAGAACTGGCATATGTTAGGCTATGGTGTCAGTGTGGATGGGCAATTCTTCAAGATGGAAAACCAAGTCTCACTGAGTTGCTGGAGCCACAGTGACCTTTCTCCACATCCCCCACCATGGGCTTTCACTTTTCTCCTGTGCTTGAATTTTTTTCACATACAAATTCTTTATACACACACACAGACAGACACACACATATCTCACTCTGTCAATGCAGTGGCTGAATCATGGGTCACTGCATCTTCAAATTCTTAGGCTCCAGTGATGCTTTCAAATCAGCCTCTCAAGTAGCTGGGACTACAGGCATGCAAAGCTACACCCAGACAATTTTTAAATATTTTTCTAGAGACTGAGCCTACTTATGTTGCTCAGACTCGTCTTGAACTCCTGGGATCAAGCGATCATCCCACCTTGGCCACCCAAAGTGTTTAGATTACAGGTATGAGCTAGCACTCTCAGCAAAAATATATTTTAAAGAACCGTTACAACCAAATTATGAGTTATCATTATGCCACTGCCCTCCAGCCTGGGCACCAGAGCAAGACCTTGTATCCAAAAACTAAGCAAAACTAAGCAAGAACAAAAAAAAAACCTTATAACTAAATTAAACTTTGAAGATTGTGTCATCTGTGTCCTTCCCTGCCCTCCAAGCTATCAATGTTAAATATAATGGTTATTGAGAAAATGGTTAGATATTATTAAGAAATTTCTATATATCCTCCAGCTGAGAATAGGTATTCTGATGTGGCCCAAATATTTTCTCACCGCTACCTTCAGGGTCTAAACTAGCAAGTCAGGACACCTGCAGAGGACAGTTGACCATTTTCAAATAGAAAGAGAAATACCCCGTTCATGAGAGTAATCCAGTGATTTTCAAAAAGACAAGACACACTGACATCCAGCGCAGTCAGGGCACAATTACCTTGGAAAAATCACCTCACACAGAATGGTTGAGGAGACTTTCTAAGGTGAGCAAATTTGGGAAACATAATCCTTTCTTATTTATTTCCAGCCCCCGCTGCCCCCCTGATTCCTAATGGTCACACAACAGTGTGGTCAGCAGTGGGGTGCAGTGTTGTGAGAGAGGGGCTCAGGGATGGGATGAAGGTCTTTACCGCGTTACAAAAATGCAGGTTAAAAAGTTGCTAAAAAGATGTCTAAATATTCTAATTCGTACTGTTACATAGCTGCTAAGATGCATTATACAACAGACCCAGGTAAGGGAAAGAGCACGTGCATTTCAAGTCTCAGCTCACGTCTGAATTAGCTGTGATACTCTGGGCACGTGACCCCAAATATAGGAGCCTGTTTGCCTGTCAACCCAAAACAATCCTAAGCAAAAACAACAAAGCTTGAGGCATCCTGCTACCCGACTTCAAACTATACTACAAGGCTACAGTAACCAAAACAGCACAGTACTGATACCAAAACAGATATATAGACAAATGGAACAGAACAGAGGCCTCAGAAATAACATCACACATCTACAACCATCTGATCTCCGACAAACCTGACAAAAACAAGCAATGGGGAAAGATTTCCTACTTACCAAATGGTGCTGAAAGAACTGGCTAGCCACATTCAGAAAACAGAAATTGTACCCCTTCCTTACACCTTATGCAAACATTATCTTAAGATGGATTAAAGTCTTAAATGTAAAACACCAAACCATAAAAACCCTAGAAGAAAACCTAGGCAATACCATTCAGGACATAGGCATGAGCAAAGACTTCATGAATAAAATACCAAAAGCAATCACAACAAAAGCTAAAATTGACAAATGAGATCTAACTAAACTAACGAGCTTCTGCACAGCAAAAGAAGCTATCACCAGAGTGACCAGGCAACCTACAGAGTGAAAGAAAATTTTTGCACTCTATCCATGTGTCAGAGGTCTAATATCCAGAATCTACAAAGAACTTAAACAAATTCACACACACACAAAAAAAAACCATCAAAAAGTGGGCACAGAATATAAACAGACTCTTTTCAAAAGAAGATATTTGGCTGGGCGCGGTTGATCAAGTCTGTAATCCCAGCACTTTCAGCCGTGGAGGCAGGTGGATCATGAGGTCAGGTGTTCAAGACCAGCCTGGGCCGCATGGCGACACCGCATTTCTACTAAAAACACAAAAAATTAGTAGGATGTGTTGGCGGGTGACCTGTAATCCCAGCTTCTGGGGAGGCTAAGGCAGGAGAATCACTTGAACCTGGGTGGCAGATGTTGCAGTGAGCCGAGATCCTTCCACTGCACTCCAGCCTGGGTGACAGAGCAAGACTCCATCTTAAAAATAATAATAATAAGTAAAATAAATAGAAAAAGAAGAAGGAGAAGGAGAAGAAGAAGAAGAAGAAGAAGAAGAAGAAGTAAAGAAGAAGAAGAAGAAGAAGAAGAAGAAGAAGAAGAAGAAGAAGAAGAAGAAGAAGAAGAAGAAGGGGACCTTTATGTGGTCAACAAACACAAAAAAGAGAAAAGCTCATCATCACTGGAGACTAGAGAAATGCAAATCAAAACCACAATGGGATACCTTCTCACACCATGTTGAATGGCAGTTATTAAAAAGTTAGGAAACAACAGATGCTGGTGAGGCTGTGGAGGAATAGAAACACTTTTACACTGCTGGAGGGAGTGTAAATTAGTTCAACCATTATGGAAGACAGTGTGGTGATTCCTCAAGGATCTAGAACCAGAAATACCATTTGATCCAGCAATCTCATTACTGGGTATATACCCAAAGGAATATAAATCATTCTAGCATAAAGACACATGCACTCATATGTCTATTGCACCACTGTTTGCAATAGCAAAGACTTGGAACCAACCCTAATGCCCATCATTGATAGATTGGAAAAAGAAAATGTGGCACATATACACCATGAAATAATATGCAGCCATAAAAAGAATGAGTTCATGTCCTTTGCAGGGACGTGGATGAAGCTGGGAACCATTAACCTCAGCAAACTAACACGGGAACAGGAAAGCAAACACCATATGTTCTCACTCATATGTGGGAGTTGAAAAATGAGAACACATGGACACCTGGAGCCAAAGATCACACACTAAGGCCTGTTAAGGGGTTGAGGTCAAGGGGAGGGAGAAAATTAGGACAAATACCTAATGCATATGGGGCTTAAAACCTAGATGGCAGGTTGATAGGTGCAGCAAACCACCATGGCACATGTAAAACTATGTAACAAACCTGCACGTTCTGCACATGTATTCCAGAACTTAAAAACAAACTAACAAAAGTGCACTAAGTCTGAGGGGGAGTGGGGGTAAGGGCAGGAGTCAGGCGAGGGTGGGTGCGTCCTGGAGTTTTATCCAGTCATTGACACTGATGTGGGAACCGCCCAATCAGGCGCGCGGTGGCAGAGGAGAGGAAAGGAGGGCGTGGCTTCCTGCATTTGGCGGGATCTGTGTCTCTCGCTGGTGCTGGCACAGGAGCTTGGGATCTGTCTCCTCTTTCGCCTCCTGCACCTTGAGAGCCCTGGGCTACTCTGTCACAGCCCCTGTTGCCCTGCGATCTGTAGGTCCTTGGGGACGCATAGTTAAGGTGCCAGGACATCCTGGAAGCTGGGAAATGGTGAGTATACGGGGTTCGCCATCCCGAGAGGGGAGAACAGACTGTGAAACCGGCAGGACCGGCCTCCCCACGGTTAGCTCCGAGTCTCCCGCAGCTTGGCCCTCAGTCCCCTGTGGCTGCAAGATGGCCGCTGGGCCAGCAGCGAGGACCCCCACGTCCCGTCCGGCCCATCCGGTCCTGTCCCTGGGCAGCGCCCTGCTCTGCGCCCACAGCCATGAGTATTTCCCAAATTGTTCAGGGAGGCCAGATGGGTCATCAGGGAAAAACCGCGAGTGGGTGTTTGCGTGGGAGGAGCTGCGGCCCGTGGGGTCCACAGTCTCTCGTGTTAAAAATTAACGGGAGTCTATGTTAAAAGGTTCATCAGTTTATCTGAACAAAGAGTGATTGGTGAAATGGAAAGCACCCAGCCATGATTTCTGGTCCACCAGAGGGGCATAAAGGAAAGGCTTTCATAAGATGCATGAGAAAGCAACCCAAATTCAAGAATTGGTTCCAGTTATATGGTAGCCTTATTTGAACTATCCAGATGGAAATGTCCTGGTTACATATTCAGAGGTTAATTGCATGTTTGTCATGGGTTAAACCTGCATTTTGCTTCAGGCTAAGATAGTGTTTTATAGGAAATATATTTGAGTTAGGTTTTAGATTTTTTTTTGTTTGTTTTTTGTTTTTTACCTATGAACACAGGGCACTAGAGCCACTTTAGACTAATTTTCTGATCTTTAATTATTTTAACACTCCAGAGGAGGACTGGTTTTCTCCTGTGTTTTTTTAATGTATGGCAAGTGGAACCTCTAATCGACCACCCTGTTTTTCATCCTAACTCAGGCTTGCAGTAAAATTATCAGTTCCCACTTTCTTTGCTGCATTCTCAAACGCAACACATGAGACCAGCTTTCCCTTGCCAATTTACAATGCTGTTAACTATATGTCCTTTATTATACATTTCGTTAAAGTTTTCTATTATTGGGTTTCTTTCTACTTCTCCCTACAGTTCTGGCAATATTTGCTTTTTATATTTAGAAGCCTCCCTTTTGGGTGCATAAATATATAAAGCTATATTCTCTTGAGAAATTAACCTCTATTATTGTATGGTAAACTCATTTCATTCTTGTGAGAGACATTGCTAGAAAGTCTATTTTGTCTAATTTAAGCATTACCATTTCACTCCTTTGGTTATTATTTGCATGGAATATCATTTTCTATCCTTTCACTTTTAGCCTATGCTCTTAATTCATAATTGAGTCTCTTGTAAGCAGCATATTATGAGGTTTAAAAGATTAATTTATCCACTCTGTCTGCTTTAGTCTCTTTTGGCTGCTATAACAGAATATCACACACTGGTAATTAATAAAGAATAGAATTTTATTTGACTCATGATTCTGGAGGCTGGGAAGCCAAAACAACATTATACTGGTATATGTTGAAGGTCTAGTTGCTGGATAATAACATACACAAAGATGTGAGGGAGAGAGAGCTTTTTTTTTTTAATATATAACAGATCCATTCTTGTTATAATTAGCCCATTCCCATAATAAGAACGTTAATCCATTCATGAGGGCAGAGTGCTTATAGCTTAATTAATTTTTAAAGGTTCCACCTGTTAATTCTAACATGTTGGCTATTAAATTTTATCCTAAATTTTGGAGATGACATTCAGTGTACAGCAGTATCTGTTTAGTAGATACTTTAATCTTTTTATTTGTAAGGTAGTGATAGGTAAGCAGTTACTATTGTACATTTGTAGTTTTCTGTCCATTTTAAGTTTGCTTCTTTTTTTTCTGGTTCTGTCTTTCCTGTGGTATTGTTCATTTTTGTTGAGACAAAGTTATGCTTTCTTGCTCAGACTGAAGTGCAGTGGCATATCACAGCTCACTGTAGCCTTAACCTCCTGGGCTCAAATAATCGTCCCACCTTAGCCACCCAAGTAGCTTGGACTGCAGACATGTACCACAACACCCAAGGAGATTTGATTCTTCCACCTTGGCCTCCCAAAGTGTTGGAATTATAAGCAGGAGACACCATATCCAATGTGTAATTTTTGTTGTTTGTGTATGCTTTAATTACTTTCTCTTTTTCTTTACTATTTTTTTTTCCTACTGGTTATCATGAGACTTATGTAAAACATCTTGTATTTTAATAGTCTAGTTTAAGATGATAACAATTTATAGTATTCTGAAATTCAGTATGTATTTACCATTTTAGTGACATTTATACTTTAGTATTTTTCATATTGTTAGTTAGCATTTCATCATATCAATGTGAAGATTTCTTCCAGACCATGGCTGGAGAAGGAAAGAAGGTGTGTTTTGCCTGATTCAGGGACTATAGAGAGAACCAAGTTCTGCAGGCCTGTCATCTAAGTCTCAGGTGAGTATGAATTCTCTTGTGTTTTCCACAGACTGTTGCAGTGTCAGGACCAAGGTCAAATGAGTTATAGCCAAGTCTACAGTAAGATGTGGCAGTATTCTGTTTTGAAGCGAGGACCATGATTGGCAAGCTTGCCACTTGGTCAAGTGCTTACCCTCTAAAGATGTCTTCCTTGGTCTTTGCCTCCAGCTGGGTGTCACAAACTCTGAACTGGATTCCAAGGCTTTCATGAATGCACTTATGTTTGCTGTGGCAGCTGCATTATGTCGTGGGGGATGTGGATGCAGAACCTCCCATTCTGTCGTCTTGCTTATGTTACTCTCCTTTATGTTTCACTTTCTCAAATGAATGTCAAGCAGGTGATTTTCAGATTCAAAAGTTCTAAAATAAATTGCTCAAATTTACACATTATGTAAGCTGTTAATAAAATTTCTTGTAGGTGCTACATATTTATTAAAATTTTTGGTTGTAATTTTAAGCTCACTGTAGGCAGAAAGGAATCATTAAGATTTCTATTCTTTTTTAGTCTGTATCTAAATGACCATATATTTTAATTCCAAATATTTACTTTATACTTCAGTAATGCTCATTGTATTTTGCAAAATTTATATTGTTCTTTTATTTGAAAATATAAGGCTTTTTTTAGCTCCTGAAATCTATATTATAGTCATATAGTTTTATTATAGTATTTGATAAGAAGAGCAGCAACATATTGAGAACAGAATAAAATTCTGCTGTCTTTTTAATGATTATTTATTAAATTCTTCTCATTAAAGCCTATTATTAATGATTGTAATGTATTTACTGTATAATTTTACTGCAATTTATTAAATGCCAATGACTTCTAATGTCTGCTTTTCATGACTGCACACAGTTTAAAGCTGTAGATATCTAAAGGGTTATTTTTCAGCCCGGCACGGTGGCTCATGCCTGTAATCCCAGCACTTTGGGAGGCCAAGGTGGGTGGATCACGAGGTCAGGAGATCAAGACCATCCTGGCTAACACGGTGAAACCCAGTCTCTACTAAATATAGAAAAAATTAGCCGGGCATAGTGGCGGGTGCCTGTATTCCCAGCTACTCGAGAGGCTGAGGCAGGAGAATGGCGTGAACCCAGTAGGCGGAGCTTGCAGTGAGCCGAGATGGCACCACTGCACTCCAGCCTGGGCGACAGGGTGAGACTGTCTCAAAAAAAAACAAAAAGGGCTTATTTTTCATTGTATATTTATGTTGTATTCAGGATTTTATGCATTAAAATCTCTCTTCTTATTTTCAGTTCTGTGTTGTTGTGTTTCTTTTCTGGGGGGGTATGTTTTCTCAGAGCAGTTAATTGTATTTTTGCTTTTAAAGCTTGATATCATGAGTTGAATGATAATTTTTTAACTCGGTACACATTATGACAATGTGATATTTAATTTATATTTGAATTAGCTGTGTTTGTTGCTTATAGATATATCTATGTGTTTTTCACCTATGTAAGTATGTCATTTTTTTCATCTTTTTTCCTTGTTTTTTTTTTTAAGTTTCAGATATGCTTTCTTTTTCTTTTTTTTGTTTTTTTTTTTTTTAAAGAGAATTTTAAAACAGAGTCAAATGAACAAAAATCAGTTATTTGTCCTCTTGCAGGGCGGGGAGACCTTCCTTCCCCACGGGTTTGAGGCTATGGCTAAGTGGTGAGCCTTGGTGAGACGCAGAAAGGATCCATCCCAGGCACTTGGCTAGAGGTAAGTAAAAATAGCCTTTGGGCCAGAAGACCTGATAGTTTGGGTACTCGTCTGGACATAAGTCCCCATCTTCCCAGAAATGTCGTCTTTTGTCTGCAACAACTGGCTGGAGAAATATTTCAGAAAGATGTGTGCCTGGAACACCCAAAGGCATACCTTTCCTTTCTCCTTGGCATAGGCCTTGCAGCACTGAAGAAAGACCAGGTTTGCAACGGAGCCTTCAATACTCTTCATCCCTATGGATCTCAGGGGCTCATAGGGTGACAGGAGAGGAGACAAGCTAGCTTGGGAAGAGTCTTTGTCCTTCAGCTTCTCCTCTACTGAAACACTATATACTTGGGGCCACAGTTCATAGCAAAACACACATGCTGTCTTTCTTTCTCTCACACCCCCATCTCGGGAACCCAACAACTTGATGGCAGGTAGCTCTGGGTATCCTTGGTCTGGCATTCACCCACTGGGCATCTAAGCTGTCCTAAAGCTCTTTTCAATCACTTCTCACTGTTTCCAGGCCCATGTGGGTAGGTGTTCCAGCCTTCACTCTTTCAGGCTGTTCATAAAGGCACAGTGTGGGAAAATCCCCTACTGTGATGGCCATTGCTGGGAAGCAGGGAAGGTTAAGGGCCCACTGCTGCCCAAGGCTAGTGTAGACACCCTCTGCTCCTCCACTCATCTCCTCAAATAATGATATCAGGTGCAGCAGCTGCTGTCTGGAATGTTATCAAACCAGGACTGCACAGGCACTGCATTCTCTGTGTGGAAGATGTAAGAAGCAGGCGAGTTGTCCAGGATGAGTTTTCCTCAGGTCCCTCCCCAGATGGCTGACGTCCTTGACATAGCAGCCCTGGTGAAACAAACATGACTCATGGGACAGGCAGCCCCAGACCATCCCATACCCGTCCAGCTCACCCGTCACAGGATCTGCCTACTTGTTCAGGCTGGGAAGAAGAGAGCAATGACGAAAACACATTTAAACATTTCCTCCATTCATGTCAGGAACTCATCCATATAAGGCCTCATGAGCACATGGATCTGGTGCATGGTCCCCTCAAGCTCTACAGGCACTAGGCAGTCAGCATTGCTGATTGGCTTAAAGGAGCTATGCACAAGGGTTTCATCCAGGTCAGTGACCATACAGATCCTTCCTTGATTTTTCTCTGTCACCTCTGGGAGCAGGCAGGTTCCTGGGATCTGATAAAACTGATATTGGAGACGCTGGAGCTGATCCGACATAGCAATGGTGTTGACTCCCTCCTTATGTGTGGATTGCTCAGCGGGGGAACTTGACTGTCCAACATGCTGGGTGCAAGAACAGCAGAAAGGGGACTTTTAAGATGTGGCAAACATGAGGCCTCTTCGGAGAGGACTTTGGAAACCAGGCCTTGCTTGGTAAGGACCAGGGCATCTTCCCTCCATGCCTGGGTGATGATGGAGCCTTGTTCCATCTAACAATCCTGAGGGCTGGGCTGGGGGGCATGGGCTGGGGCCTGATTCAGTTCCCGAGATTCTGACCTCCACAGCTGTTCACATACCCCTTCTCCTTTCCATACTGGCCGGGAAGGGAGGTGGCTTGTAGGGAGGGTGGTTGGCCTTGGCAGCGGCTCCCCAGTGTGCCCCCATCCCCGATTCCCCCAGCGAGAGCTTCAAGATCCTCAGTTTGGGTCTAACATAGAGAATCCACCAGAAACACATTTTTTTTTCAAGTTTTATTTTAAGTTCAGGGGTCCATATGTGATAAAGTTTATTTTTCAACTTTTATTTTAAGTTTAGGGGTCCATGTGCAGAGTATGCAGGTCTCTTACATACATAAATGCGTACCACTGTGGTTTACTGCACAGATCATCTCATCACCCAGGTACCAAGCCCAGCATCCGCAGCTATTCTTCCTGATGCTCTCCTTCCCCTCCCCCATGCCATGAAACAGGTGTCCAGTGTGTGTTGTTCTTCCTGATGTGTCCATGTGTTCTCATTGATCTGCTTCTGCTAATAAGTTAGAATAATAATAGGCGGTGTTTGGTTTTCTGTTCCTGCATTAGTTTGCTGGGAGTAATGGCTTCAAATTCCAACCATGTCCCTGCAAGGGACATCATCTCATTACATTTTATGGCTTCATAGTGTTCCATGGTGTATGTGTACCACATTTCCTTTATCCAGTGTATCATTGATGGGCATGTAGATTGATTACATGATGTTGCTATTGTAAATAGTGCTGCAATGAACATTTGTATACATGTATTTTTAAAATAGAATTATTTATATTCCTTTGGGTGTAATGGTATTGCTGGGTCAAATGGTAGTTCTGCTTCTAGGTCTTTGAGGAATCTCCACACTCTCTTCCTCAATGCTTGAAATAATTTACACTCCCACCAACAGTGTAAAAGTGTTCCCTTTTCTCCACAACCTCGCCAGCATCTGTTTTTTTTTTTTTTACTTTTTATTAATAGCCATTATAATTTGTGTGAGATGGTATCTCATTATGGTTTTGATTTGTATTTATGCAGTTATCAGTGATGTTGAGCTTTTCATGTTTGTTGGGCACATGTATGTCCTCTTTTGAGATATGTCTGTTCATGTTCTTTGACCCTTTTTTAATGGGGCCTTTTTTTTTTCTCTTGTAAATTTTGTTAAATTCCTCCTAGATTCTGGATATTAGACATTTGTGAGATGGATAGGTTGCATAATTTTTCTCCCATTCTCTAGGTTGTCTGCTCTGATGATAGTTTCTTTGGCTCCGCAGAAGCTCTTTAGTTTAATTAGACCCCATTAGTCAATTTTTGCTTTTGTTGCTATAGCTTTTTGCCTTTCTGTCATAAAGTCTTTTCTCATGCCTATATCCTGAATGGTATTATCTAGATTTTTTCTTCTAAGGGTTTTATAGTTTTGGGTTGTACATTTAAGTCTTTAATCCATCTTGAGTTAATTTTTGTACATGGTGTTAAGAAGGGTTCCAGTTTAAATTCTCTGCATATGGCTAGCCAGTTCTCCTAGCACCATTTTTTGAATAGGGACACCTTTCCCTAATTCCTTGTTTTTGTTAACTTTGTCAAAGATCAGGTTGTTGTAGGTTTTTGGCTTTATTTCTAGGTTCTCTACTTTGTTTCATTTGTCTATGTGTCTGTTTCTATACCAGTACCATGCTGTTTTTGTTACTGTACTCTTCTAGTATAGTTTGAAGTTAGGTAGAGTGACACTTCCAGCTTTTTTTTTTTTTTTCTTAAGGTTGGCTTGGCTATTTGGGCTCTTTTTTGGTTCCATATGAACTTTAAAAGTTTTTATTTTTCTAATTCTCTGAAGAATGTCAGTAGTTCAATGGGAATAGCATTGAATCTATGAATTACTTAGGGCCATATGCCCATATTCATGATACTGATTCTTCCTCTCCATGAGCATGGAATATTTCTCCATCTGTTTTGTGTCCACTCTGATTTCTCTGAGCAGTTGTTTGTGGTTCTCCTTGAAGAGGTCCTTCACTTTCTTTCTTAGCTGTATTCCTAGGTATTTTTTTCTCTTTGTAGCAAATGTGAATGAAAGTTCATTCATGATTTGTCTCCCTGCTTGCCTGTTGTTTGTGCATGGGAATGCTAGCTACTTTTGCACATTGATTTTATATCCTGAGATTTTGCTACTGTTGCTTATCACCTTAAGAAGCTTTGGGCCTGAGACAATGAGGTTTTCTAGATGTAGGATCAGGTCATCTGCAAACAAAGATAATTTGACTTCCTCTCTTTCTATTAGAATACTCTTTATTTCTTCCTCTGGCCTGATTTTCCTGGCCAAGGCTTCTGATACTATATTGAATGGTAGTGGTGAAAGAGGGCATTCTTTTCTTGTGCCAGTTTTCAGGTGGAACGTTTCTAGCTTTTGCACATTCAGTATGATATTGGTTGTGGGTTTGTTGTATATGGCTCTTATTATTTTCAGGTATGTTTCTTCACTTCCTAGTTTATTGAGAATTTTAAACCTGAAGGAATGCTGAATTTTATTGGATGCTTTTTCTGCATTTATTGAGATAATCATGTGGCTTTTTATTTAGTTCTCTTTATGTGATGAGTCACATTTATTGATTTGCATTTGTTGAATCAACCTTGCATCCTGGGGACAAAGCCAACTCCATTGTTGCAGATGAACTTTTTAATATGCTGCTGGATTTGGTTTGCCAGTATTTTATTGAGGATTTTTGCACAGTGTTTACCAAAGACATTGGCATGATGTGTTGTTGTTGTTGTTGTTGTTGTTGTAGTATCTATGTTAGGTTTTGGTATCTGGATGATGCTGGCCTGATAGAATGAGTTACAGAGAACTTTGTCTTCAATTTTTTTTGGATGGTTTTAGGAGAAAAGGTACCATCTCCTCTTTGTACCTCTGGTCAAATTCAGCTTGCTTGGTAGGCTAGTTATTACTGCCTCAGTTTCAGAACACATTATTGATCTATTCAGGGTTCAGTCTTGTGGAGGGTTTATTTTGCAAGGAAATTGTCTATTCTAGATTTTCTGGTTTATGTGCATACAGATGTTTATAGTGTTCTCTGATGGTTGTTCTTATTTCCATGGGACCAGTGATGATATCTCCCTTATTATTTCTAATTGTGTTTGGTTCTCCTTTCTTTTCTTATTTATTTGCCTAGCTAGTGTTCCATCTAGTTTATTAATTTTTTTCATAAAACAGCTCCTGGATTTGTTGACTTTTTTTTTTTGGAAGAGTTTTCAGTGTCTCTATCTCCTTCAGCTCTACTTTGATCTTGGTTATTTCTTGTTTTCTGCTACCTTTCTGGTTAGTTTTCACTTGGTTTTCTAGTTCTTTTAATCAAGATGTTAGGCTGTTAACTTTAGATCTTTCTAGTTTCTCTTTTTTTTCTTGTGGCAGAGTCTCACTCTGTCACCCAGGCTGGAGTACAGTGGCATGATCTCTGCTCACTGCAACCTCCACTTCTCAGTTTTAAGTGATTTCTGCTGTCTCAGCTTCCTGAGTAGCTGGGATTACAGATGTGCATCACAAAAACCAGCTAATTTTTGAATTTTTTTTTGTAGAGGTGGGGTTTTGCTGTGTGTTCCAGGCTGGTCTTGAACATCTGGCCTTAAGTGATTTGCCTACCCCAGCCTCCCAAAGTGCTGGAATTACAGGCATGAGCCACCACGCCCAGCCCTTTCTAGCTTTTTGATGTGGACATTAGTGCTATAAATTTCCCTCTTTTCTTGGTTTCCAGTGATTATTTTATTCTATCTTGGTGAGTCATCAGGGAAATAATCTTAAATTTACAATCAACATATAGTTTAAATCCATATAATTGTGTGAGAATAACCCTTTGTTATTTGAAGGTGATGTTTGAAAGGTTTTCTAACTGTGCCTTTTAGTTAGTCTTAAATTTCTAATTGTAGTTAAAAACATGCCATTGTCATTTCTGAAATTTTAAGTATATGGTTTAGAAGTGGTTAGTATAGTTCTATTGTTTTGCAGTAGCTTTTAGATAATTTTTGTCTTACAAAAGTAAAAGTGAATACTCATTACTTGTGAAAGAAGTTAGTTAGCTTACCTTAGGTAGATAGCAAGAGAAGAGTCCCTGGAAAGTCCCTGGTCAGTGCCTCATCCCTGCATAACATGTAAAGAAGCCTGGAAAAAATCAAGCTGCAGACACTAACAAGGGAACTAACATATGTTGTTGTGCTTGGAGACATGCCCGTGGCTGCAGAGATAGAAAAACCTCTGGCCCATTTGGATAAAAACTTGTACAAACCTCCAGCTCACTCAGATAAAGGAACAAGAACGACCTAGCACAGAAATGCCTTTGTTTGGCCAGCCACGGTGGATCATGCCTGTAATTCCAACAATGTCGGAGGCAGCTGTGGGCGGATCATCTGAGGTCGGGAGTTTGAGACCAGCATGACCAAGATGGACAAACCCTGTCTTTACTAAAAATACAAAACTAGCCAGGCATGGTGCTGCATGCCTATAATCCCAGCTACTTGGGAGGCTGAGGCAGGAGAATCGCTAGAACCCAGGAGGTGGAGGTTGCTGTGAGCCGAGATCGCACCATTGCACTCCAGGCTGGGCAACAAGAGCAAAACTGCAAAAAAAATAAAATAAAATAAAAAAAGAAAGTACATCTCAAAAAAAAGAAAGAAAGACAAGAAAAAGAAAAAAAAAAGAAACACCTTTGTCTTTGTACAGTCAGTGGGCTCCCAGGAAAATGTTCCTTCTCTTTTTGTTGGCATGGACACTGTGGAATCTGGTACATTCCGGTAGACATTCTCCTTTATTTGGACTGTAAGTCTGACCTCTATGAATAATTACTTCAGCCCCTGATTGCTCCCGTGCCAAGCTCCTTGGCCAAACTTTCACCTTAGCTTCTGGTAAGTCTTGGGCCAAGCTAAGCAGCATCTATCAATCATCCCTTCAGCTCCTGATTGGTCCTGGGCCAAAGGCCTGGGCCAAGCTGAGCCACACGTTTTTCAAGACAGCCTGTGAACTAGGCACATATCCTTCCCTTCCCAGTCCATAAAAACCCTGGACCCAGCCTCGTAGAGGGCACCACTTTCAGACACCTATCTCTGCTGGCAAAGAGCTTTCTTCTCTTGCTTCTTAAACTTTCACTCCAACCTCACCTTTGTGTTTACACTCCTTAATCTCCTTAGAGGTAGAACAAAGAACTCTGGATGTTATCTCAGACTACGAGAGACTGTTACATCTTGGTGCACTGCTGAGACTATGACACTTGGTTTCTTTGAGTTTGACTAAATATTTTACATGAGTGTAATTATACAGCTTTCCTTTTTGACTGTCTTATTTTACTTAACAGAATGTTTTGAATATTTGTCCTTATTGTAGTACTTTTCAAGATTTCCTTATTTTTAAGGCTGAATGCTATCCCAGTGATTGTACGTGCCCTGTTTGCTGAATCTACTCATCCTTAAGGGTACATTTGCTTCCAGGTAACATGTTTGTGACTAATACTACAATGTGCATATATCTATTCCATGTTCTGCTTTGTCTGTTTGGGATATTTTTCATACACTGATTCAGTACCATGTGTATTCCCTTGCTTTTGTTGTCTCATCCGTTGATGTTACGTCCCCCAAATTATTGCCACGACCAGTTGTCATGAAGCTTCACCCTTCTGTATTGTGCTAGGAATTTTACAGCTATAGGTTTTACATTATAGTCTTCATTCATTTTTTAAAATTGACACATGTAATTGTGCATATTTTGGGGAAACAATTATATATATATGTTGTATAACAATAAAAATCAGAGTACTTCTATACTTGTTGCCTCATGCATTTGTTATTTTTGTGGTGAGAATATTCAAAAGCTTCTTCTCTAGCTATTTTATTTTATCTTTAAGTATTAAATTTTTTTAGAGACAGGATCTTGCTCTAACACCCAGACTGGTGTGCAGTGGTGCAATCTTAGCTCACTGTAACTTCAAACAGTCTTCTAACCTTAGTTTCCCAATTAGCTGAGACTACAGGAAGCTGCCACCATGCCTGGCTAATGTTTTAATTTTTCATAGAGACAGGGTCACACTATGTTGTCCAGGCTCATCTTGAACTTCTGACGTCAAGTGATTCTCCTACCTCAGTCTCCCAAAATGTATGGATTGCAAGAATGTGCCACCGAAACTGGTCTCTTTTAGCTATTTTGTAATATGAGATAACTTTTCATTAATTATTATTATTCTACTGTGTAATAAAAAACAAAAACTTATTTCCCCTATCTAATCATAACACAATACCTGTGAAGCAACCTTTTCCCATCCTCCTGCTTCAGTCTCTGGTAACCCCTGTTGTACTCTTTGCTTCTATCAACCCTTTTTTTCAGGTTCCTCAAATGAGTGAGATAATAAGATCATAAAGTATTTGTGTTTCTCTATGTGGCTTATTTTACTTAACATGGTATGCTCAAGGTTCATCCATGCTCTTTTAACTGACAGAATTTTATGCTTTCTTATGGCTGAATAGTATTTCGCTGTGTATATATAGTACATTTTCCTTATCCATTTATCTGTTGCTGTACATTTGAATTGATTCCATATATAAGCTATTATAAATAGTTCTGTAATGAACATGGGAATGCAAATATCTTTTTGACACAGTAATATCCTTTCTTTTGGATATACACCCAGAAGTAAAATTGCTGGATCATATAATAGATATATTTTTAATTTCTTTCAGAAACCTCCATACTATTTTCTATAATGGCCATACTAATTTACAATTCCACCAACAAGGTATACATCCACTCTTTTTTATATCCTCATTAGTTCTTGATTTATTTATTTATTTTTATTATAGCCACTCTAATGGGAATGAGGCGGTACTTCATTATGGTTTGGATTTGCATTTCCTTGGTGATTAGTAATGTAGAGCATCTTTTTATGTTCCAGTTAGCATTTTTGTATCTCTTTTTGACAAACATCTATTAAGATCTTTTGCATTTTTAAAGTTAGATTATAAGTGTATTTTATTTTGAGATTTTAAAGTTTCTTATATATTCTGAATATTAGCCTTTTGTCACATGTATATGAAAACATTTTCTGTCATTGCCTAAGCTGTCTCTTCAAACTTCTAGTTGTTTTTTTAATATGGAAAAGCATTTTAGTTTGACATAATGTTGTTTGCTTATTCTCGATTTTGTTGCCCATGTTTTGAAATCTTATTTTAATAATCCTTTCCCCATCCAATGTTATAAAGCATTTTTTTATGTTTTTCTCTAATAGTTTCATAATTGATGGCATTACATTTAAGTCTTTAGTTTTAGTTGATTATCATATATGGCAAGGTACAAGGGTCTAGTATTATTTTTCTGCATATAAATATTTAAGTGGCCCTGCACCATTTATTAAAGAGATTAGCTTTTCTCTAAAGTGTGTTCTTGGCAATTTTGTTGACAATCAGTTGGCTTTAGGTGCATAAATTAACTTCTGGGCTTATTCGGCACATTAGTCTATGAGTTTGTTTTTATGCCAGTACAGTGCTGTTTTGGTTACTGTAGCTTTATAGCAAGTTTTGAAGTTTGATGAAGTGATGCCTTTAGCTTTGCTTATTTTGCTCAAAGTTGCTTTGTCTATTCAGAGTTTTTTGTGGATCCATATAAATTTAAATTTTTTTTATTTCTGTGAAAAAATGTCATTGGTACTTTGATAAAAATCACATTAAGTCTGTAGATCACTTTGGGTAGATAGATCAAGAGTATTCTTCCAGTGTATAAACACAATATTTTTTCATTTATTCATTTGTATTTTATATTTTTTATCCATGTTTTGTCGTTTTCAGAGTAGAGATCTTTTACCTTTTTAGTTAAGTTTGTTGCTAGGTGTATTAGTTGGGCTTCCCTAGAGAGATCATGAGATCCCACAATAGGTTGTCTGCAAGTTTGAGGAGCAAGGAGAGGCGGTCCATGTCCCAAAGCTGAAGAACTTGGAGTCTGATGTTTGAGGGCTGCAAGTGTCCAGCACAGGAGAAAGATGTAGTCTGGGAGCTTAGGCCAGTCTCTCTTTTTCACGTTTTTCTGCCTGCTTTATATTCACTGTCAGCTCATTAGATGGTGCTCACCCAATTAAGAGTGGATCTCCCTTTCCCAGCCCACTGACTCAAATGTTAATCTCCTTTGGCAACACCCTCACAGACACACCCAGGATCAATGCTTTTTATCCTCCAATCCAATCAATTTGACACCCTGTATTAGCCATCACATTAAGTATTTTCATTTTTGTAGCTTTTGCATATGCAGAAGAAGAATTGGATGAAATTCAGCCTTCATTATGATGAAAACTCTCAACAAGTTAGGAATAGAAGGTATGTGCCTTAATACAGTAAAGGCCATTTATGAAAAAGCAATGCTAACTTTATACTGAATAAGGAAAAGTTGAAAGCTTTCTCTCTGAGATCTGGAACAAGACAAATCATCCAAACTTTCAGCCCTCTTATTCAACATAGTACTGGAAGTCCTAGCCAAGGAAATTAGGCAAGAGGAAGAAATAAAAGTTATACTAATTGGAAAGGATGAAGTCAAATGGTCTCTCATTGTGGACAAAATAATCTTATATGTGAAAAACTCTAAACACTACACCAAAAACTATTAGAACTACTAAACAAATTCTGTAACATTGCAGAAAATTAACACAGTAGTAGCTTTCTGTATGATGATAGCGATAAAATTTTAAATTCCATTTTAATAGCTACCAAAAATTAGTTATTTTGAGTTTATTTCTTTATTTGTGGTGGAGTCTTTCTCTGTCACCAGGCTGGAGCGCAGTGGCATGATCTCAGCTCACTGAAACTCTTGCCTCCCGGGTTCCAGAGATTCTCCTGCATCAGCCTCCCGAGTGTGTGGAACTGCAGGCGTGTGCCACCACTGCCAACTAATTTTTGTTTGTATTTTTAGTAGAGACGTGGTTTCCCCATGTTGGCCAGGATGGTCTTGATATCCTGACCTTGTGATTCACTTGTCTCTGTCACCCAAAGTGCAGGGATTACAGGTGTGAGCCACTACACCCAGCCTTGAGTTTATGTTTTTATCTGGTGCAAGGTAAGGTCTAACTTTGTTATTTTTTCCTTGTAAATTTTTATTATTCCCAATACTGTTTGTTGAAGAGACTGTTCTTTCCTTTTTGTGATTCTTGGAACACATTTTAAAAATATGTTTACTATACCCATGAGGACTTATGTCTGGACTGTCTCATCTGTTTCATCATTCATTTGTCTTTATGTCAGTACCAAACTGTTTTTATTACTATATCTTTGTAGTATGTTTTGAAAATAGAAAGCATGATGCCTCTGTCTTTATATTTTTTTCCCAATATTTTTTGGCTGTTTGTGATAACTTGAAATTCCATAAAAATTGTAGAATATTTTAAAACTTCTGCAAAAAGTTTCATTGGTATTTTGATAGAAAGTATATTGAATCAGCTGAGGGTCGTGGCTCATACCTGTAATCCCAGCACTTTGGGAGGCTGAGGAAGGTGGATCACCTGAGGTCAGGAGTTCCAGACCAGCCATGGAGAAACCCCATCTCTACTAAAAATACAAAATTAGCCAGGTGTGGTGGCACATGCCTGTATTCCCAGCTACTCAGGAGGCTGAGGCAGGAGAACAGCTTGAACCCAGGAGGTGGAGGCTGCAGTGAACTGAGATCGCACCATTGCACTCCACCTTGGGCAACAAGAGCAAAACTCCGTCTCAAAATAAATAGAAAGAAAAGAAAAGAAAGAACATTGAATCCGTAGACCACTTTTGGTTGTAGTGACATTTTAACAATATTAAGTCTATAACCTCTTGAACAAGAGTGTTTTTGAGAATTTGTTGTTTAATTTTACTTATTCTTTGACATGCTAGTGTTTTTAACTTCTTGTTTTATTGTATCATAGTTAGGAATAATTTGTGTAATTCCATCTGCTTAAATTTGCTAAGATGTGTTTTTTAACTTAACAGGTGGTCTATCTGGAATATTTTGGCATGTGTGATTAAAAGTATTGCATATTCTACTGTTGAGTGGAGAGACATAAATATGACTGTTAGGTCTAATTGTTCTATTGTGTTGTTGAAATCCTCTGTTTACTTATTCATCTTATGTTTGTTTTTTAATTTACATTACTAAAAGTCTGATAAAAAAGTCATCTACTGTTATGTGCTGGC
Source organism: Homo sapiens (assembly GCF_000001405.40). NCBI lineage: Eukaryota > Metazoa > Chordata > Mammalia > Primates > Hominidae > Homo > Homo sapiens. The sequence continues at coordinate 6,334,328 of NC_000021.9, forward strand.
TACTTCATGTTTCAATTCTGTAAAATGTTGCTTCATATTTTGGGAACTGTGATGTAAGGCACATACATTACTGTTGCTTTTATTGTTGTATGTTGTTTTATTGTTGCTTTTATTGATGTATGTTGTTTTTTGTTGCTTTTATTGTTGTTGTTTTTATTGTCTTTTTCTTCTTCTCTCTTGAGGAAGTTTTTGATATAATATATATTTTGTCTACCATGACAATATTTGATTTTGCATTTAATTTTTTTTATTCTTTCATGTATGGCTTATGCGTGTTCCAGATCATAATGTGGTCATTTGTAGGAAGCAGAGAGTTGAATCTTGTTTCATGAATTTATTTAGTGAAAGTATGTTTTTGATTGACATAATTTATATATATAAAAAATCATTACTAAAAGGGAATGATTTCCTATGACTTTCTATTGAATTTTGTTTCTTTTTTGTTTTAGGTCCTGTAGCTTTTTCTTTTGAGAAGGAGTTTTGCTCTGTTGCCCAGGCTGGAGTGCAGTGGTGCAATCTTGGCTCACTGCAAGCTCCACCTCCCGGATTCACGCCATTCTCCTGCCTCAGATTCCCCAGCAGCTGGGAATACAGGCACCCGCCACCATGCCCGGCTATTTTTATTTTTATTTATTTATTTTTTTTAGTAGAGACAGGGTTTCACCGTGTTAGCCAGGATGGTCTCAATCTCCTGACCTCGTTGATCCCCCCACCTCGGCCTCCCAAATTGCTGGGATTACAGGCATGAGCCACAGCTCCTGGCCTGTCCTGTAGCTATTATTTCCTGTTTTTCTCTCTTGTTCTCTTTCTTAGCGTATTATTGATTTTTATAGTGACATGTTTTACTTCTTTTCTCACTACTCTCTCTGTGTGTATGTCTTTGTGTGTGTGTACTATAGGTATTTCCTTTTTTTTTTTTTTGACAGGGTCTTGCTCTGTCGCCCAGGCTGGAGGGCAGTGGCACAATCTCTGCTTATTGCAAGCTCTGCCTCTCAGGCTCAACTCAAACAATCCTCCCACCACAGCCTTCTGAGTACCTGGGACCACAGATGTGCACCACTACTCCTGGCTAATTTTTGTTATTTTTCATAGAGACAGGGTTTTGCCATGTTGACCAGACTAGTCTCAAAATCCTAAGTACTATAGGTATTTTCTTTGTTGTTACTATAGATATTACCAAAAATAACTACTATAGCATATAAAACCCTGCCTCTTTATGGCTCCCTATGTGTTTTATTGATGTCGCGAATTACATCATTTTATATTGTGAATCTATTGGCACAGTTATATAGTCATTTTTAAGTCTTTGTTATCTCAACTACATAGCAGAATTAAAAGTATTCTGTGCATCTTCATTATAATAACAAAGAATATTATAATTCTGTACATAATTATCTGTTAGAAAACTTTATATTTTACATAATTCTATGTTGCTCTCATCATTATTTTATTTTTTAATGTGAATGACTAGCATTTTTTAATACAGGCCTAGTGTGCATAAATTAATACAGTTTTCGTTGATCTTGAATATTCTTTATTTTTATTTTTTAATTCATTTGAAATGATAGCTTTGGCAGACATAGTGTTCTTGGTTGGTATTTGCCATTTTTTTCAGCACTTTGAGTATGTCATCCTACAACCTCTTGCCTGCATTCTATTGGCTGAGACATCTGCTGGTCATCCTATAGGGGTAACATTGTACATGCTAAGTCATTTTTTCTTGCTGACTTCAAGATTCTCGGTGTTTTAACATTTGAATCTCTGATTAAAATGTGTCTTGTCATGGGTCTCCCTGTGTTGCTACTAGTTGGTAAAGTTTCATTAAATTTTAGGCCATTTTCTCCCTCAAATTTTGAGAGTTCTCAGCCACTGTTTGTTTCTTGAAATAACTTTGCTGCTCTCTTTTCTCTCTTTTTATTTTAGAATTCCCATTAGAAGTATATTGGCCATCTTAATGGTATCCCATAAGTCCCTTAGGCTTTCTTAATTTTTAAAATTATTTTTACCCTCCTCACCATATAATTTCAAATGACTTTTTATGAAGCTTGCTGGATTTTTTCCTGCTAGATCAAACCAGTTGTTGGACCTTCTAGTGAATCTCTAAATTCAGGTATTTTATTTTTCAGCTCCACACTTTATGTTTCTATTTTATACTTTTAATCACTTCATTGATAATCTCATTATCTTCATGAATTGTTTTCTTTTTCTGTTTAGCTTTCTATGTTCTTCTTTAGCTGAATGAGCATCTTTAAGCTAGGTGTTTTAGCCAGGCACATTGATATTTGTGTCTAATTCCAGCTACTTTGAAAGCTAAGGCAAGGGGATTACTGTATTAATAAATTCTCATGCAGCTAATAAAGACATAACCAAGACTGGATAATTCATAATGAAAAAGGTTAATGGCCTCACAGTTTCACATGGCTGGGGAGGTCTCACAATTATTGGAGCAAGCAAGAGACTTTGTTCAGAGGAATCTCCACTTATAAAACCATCAGATCACGTGAGACTTTTTTGCTATCATGAGAACAGCATGGGAAAATCCCACCCCCATGATTCAATTACCTCCCACAGAGTACCTCCCAGGACATGTGGAGATTATTACAATTCAAGGTGAGATTTGGTTGGGGACAGAGAGCCAAACCATATCAATTACTTAAGGCTAGGAGTTTGAGACCACCCTGGGCAATATTGTGAGAAGCTATATGTAAAAAATATTTTTACAGATTAATCATGAATGGTGGAATGTTCCTGTAGTCTCGGAAGTTGGAGGCTGATGTAAGATTATTCCTTGAGTTCCCAGGAATTTGAGGCTGCATTGAGTTATAACCATGATATTGTATTCCTGTCTGGGTGAGAGAGTAAGACCGCCTTTTAGAATTTCAAATTTGTTTTAGATTTAGGAGGTACCTACACAGGTTTTTTACATGGGTATTTTGTATAGTGCTGAGGTTTGAAATATAAGTAATTCCATCACTTATGCAGTGAGCATAGTACTAAATAGACAGTTTTTCAGTTCTTGATCCCTCCCTCTCTCCACCCTCTAAGAGTTGTCTTTTATTTTTATTTTTATGTCCATGTGTACCCAGTGTTAATTTCCATTTATAAGTGAGAACATCAGTATTTTTGTTTTCCATTTCTGCATTAATTTGATTGTAGAATGACCTTTAGTTGTATTAATGTTGCTGCAAAGGACAAGTTTTTTTGTTGTTGTTGTTGTTTTTGCTAAGTAGTATTGCTGTACATGTGACACTTTTTAAATTCAATTTAGCATTAATAGGCTGGACACGGTGGCTGATGCCTGTAATCCCAGCACTGTGGGAGGCCAAGGTGAGTGGATCATGAGGTCAGGAGATCGAGACCATCCTGGACAGCATAATGAAACCCCCGTCTCTACTGAAAATACAAAAGTTAGCCGGACGTGTTGTCATGAGCCTGTAGTCCCAGCTACTCGGGTGGCTGAGGCAGGAGAATTGCTTGAACCTGGGAGGTGGAGGTTGTAGTGAGCTGAGATAGTGCCACTGCACTCCAGCCTGGGCAACAGAGTGAGACTTCATCTCAAAAAAAAAAAAATACCATTAATAGTCACGTAGGTTGATTCATGTCTTTCCTGTTATAAATAATGCAGTGATGAACCAACAAGTGCATGTGCTGTTTTGGTAGAATAGTTTATTCTCTTCTGGGTATACACCCAGCGGTGAAATTCTGCGTTGAATCATAGTTCAACTCTCAGTTATTTGGAAAATCTCCAAGCTGCTCTCCACAGTGGCTGAACTAATTTATATTCCTATAAACAGTGTATAAGTGGTTTTTTCCCTCTAAAACCCCACCAATATCTACTATCATTTTACTTTTTAACAAAAGCCATTCTAACTGGTGTACGATGGTGTCTTACTGTGGTTTTTATTTACATTTCCTTGATGGTTAGTGATAAGCTTTTTTCATGTTGTTTGGCCACTTGTATGTATTCTTTTGAACATTGTCTGTTATTGCCCACTTTTTCATGGGGTAATTTTTTGCTTGTGAATTCTTTAAGTTTCTTATAGATTCTGAGTATTAGATTTTGTCAGGTTTATAGGTTGTGAATATTTTTGCCATTCTGCCAGCTTTGGGGTTAGTTTGTTTTTGTTTTTCTAGTTTCTCTAAGTGTGATGTTAAATTGTTAGTTTGAGATCATTCTAACTTCTTGATGCAGGTATTTAGCACTCTCAACTTTCCTCTTAACAGAGCTTTTCCTACAACCCAGACATTTTAGTATATTGTGTCTCTTCATTTATTTCAAATTTTTTTTAAGTTTCTGCCTCAATTTTGTTGTTTACCCAAAATTCATTCAGGAGCAAGTTGTTTAATTTCAATGCCATTCTGTGATTTTGTGAGATTTTGTTGGTATTGATATTTATCTTTTTTCCATTGTGGCCTGACAGTATGGTTGGCATAATTTTCATTTTTAAAAAATGTATGGATAATTGCTTTATGGCTAGGAAGTGGTCAATCCTAGAGTATATTCTGTGAGCGATGAGAAGAATTTATGTTCCTTAGATGATGTGTGGTGTATACTATAAATGTCTATTAGTTTCAATTGATCAAGTGCGAAATCAAACTCCAGAATTTCTTTGTTAAGTTTCTGCCTAGATAATCTGACAAACACTGTTATTGGGGAGTTGCGTTTCCCTACTATTATTGCGTGGCTACTTGAGTCTTATTGTAGGTCTAGCAGTACTTGTTGTATAACTCTATGTTCCCCAAAGTTGGGTGCATCTATATTTAGGATAGTTAAGTCTTCTTGTTGAATTGAACTCTCTATCGTTATGCAATGCCTTTCTTTGTTTTATTTTACTATTAATGATTTAAAGTCCTTTTTTCTTAAAAGAGAAACAATTCCAGGTATGGTGGCTCATGCCAGCACTTTCAGACTGAGGCAGTAGGATTGCCTGAGACCAGGAGTTTGAGACCAGCCGAGGCAACATAACAACATTCTGTTTGTACAGATTCTTTTAAAGAAACTATACAGGTGTGGTAGTGTGCCCAACTGTGGTCATATTTACTCAGGAGACATAGGAGGCATGACTGCTTTACTTCAGAAATTTGAGGTTACAGTGAGCTGTGATTGCACCACTGCAATCTGTCCCAGGAGATAGAGTAAGATCCTGTGTATAAAATGAAAAAATAAAGAAAAATAAAATGATTTTAAGTTAAAAAATAATTCATAGATCTCCACTTCTTTAGGGTCACTTGAATATATATTTTTCTCGTTTCATTAGGCTATATTTCCTGGTTGCTTTTAAGTACTGTGGTTTTGTTAAGGTTTTGGTCAATTAAGAAACCACTACCTATTTTATCCTTTATGAAAAAGCTTTGTACATGGGAAAATTGACAATATTCAGCCACACTAGTCATTCCGGGAGCTTCTCCAATCTGTTGTCAAAATGTGTCTTCTTTGTACTGTATGTATTTTCTTGTTAATAAGGTTTACCTCTCTTTCCTCTTAGGAGCCTTTAGTCTCTTCTCTTTGTCACTGTTGCAGGCACTACAGTCTCTTTGTTGTAAGAAATATTTATCTTTATTCTCAGTCGACCCAAGCTGTCATTTAAACTCTATCTCTATTCTGGTCAACACTAAATGTTAAAGGTATAAATCAATAAGTCAGAAGTTTGCATACACGTTTCACTCTGTTTTCTTTCCCGAGGGAGAATCATGGAATGGACAGAATTTTATCTAACTGCACTGTTCTGTAGTGCAGAAATGTAACCAAATTTTCTTTCTTCTAAATGTGGTTATGGTTGGCTTTTTTCTCATGAGGGGTGCTACAAACTCAACTGGCTTTGCTCACCCAATTGCAGTTAAGTTCATACATCCATTGAGAGAAACAGGATCTCAGGTTCTTCTTCAACTATCATTGTGTTCTCAGCTGGCCTCATTTTGTTCATTAGATTTATAAAATATATTTACCTTAATTTCATCACCGAATTTTTTAAAAAATTATTATTTTCCAGCTCTTTTAGCATTATATCCAACAAGACCCAGACAAAACAGTACATAGGAGCTTCTTTTCAAAAAGTAATATTGGGAAGATATGGGAGCTCTGGCCTTGAAAATTTACACTTAAGGAGAGTGGGAAATTGAAGGATAAGTGTAAAGGGTACAAAGGATGCTATGATGAATATACCAGATATAGAGCAACTACCTACAGCAAAAATGTCACTGCTAGAAGAGCTCAAAACCATAAAGTATTTTGGAAAAAGCATAATTAATGTTGATTCTTTTTTCTGAACTATATATTTGTATAATTACATATCAATAACAATTTTTGAAACATCATGTTTTTGAAACAAAATTTAGAAAATCGCAATAGTGGCCTAGGCCAGGAATATATCTTCTAATGCTATCCCTCCCATAGTCCCCCACTTCCTGACAGGCTCCAGTGTGTGGTGTTCCCCTTCCTGTGTCCCTGTGTTCTCTTTGTTTAACTCCCAACTATGAGAGAGAACATGTGATGTTTGCTTTTCTACTCTTGTGTTAGTTTGCTGAGAATGGTGGTTTCCAGCTTCATCCATGTCCCTGCAAAGGACATGAACTCATCCTTTTTATGACTGCATTGTATTCCATGATGTATACATGCCACATTTTCTTTATTCATTCTACCACTGATGGGCATTTGGTTTGGTTCAAAGTTTTTGCTCTTGTGCACAGTGCCATAATAAACATATGTTTGCATGTGTCTAAGTAGTAGAATAATTTATAATCATTTGGTTATATACCCAGTAATGGGATTGCTGGATCAAATGGTATTTCTCATTGTAGATCCTTGAGGAATTGCCATACTGTCTTCCACAATGGTTGAACTAATTTACACTCTCACCAACAGTGTAAAAGTGTTCCTATTTCTCCACATCCTCTCCAGCATCTGTTGTTTCCTGATTTTTCCAATGATCACCATTCTAACTGGAGTGAGATGGTTTCTCACTGTGTTTTTGATTTGCATTTATCTAATGACCAGTGATGATGAGTTTTTTTTTCATATGTTTGTTGGCTGCATAAATGTCTTCTTTTCAGAAGTGTCTGTTCATGTCCTTTGCCCATTTTTGATATGGTTGTTTGTTTTTTTCTTGTAAATTTGCTTAAGTTTTTTGTAGATTCTGCATATTAGCCCATTGTCAGATGGATAGATTGCATAAATTTTCTCCTTTCTGTGGGTTGCCTGTTCACTCTGATGATAGTTTCTTTTGTTGTGAAGAAGCTCTTTACTTTAATTACATCTCGTTTGTCAATTTTGGCTTTTGTTGCCATTGTTTTTGCTGTTTTAGTCATGAAGTCTTTGCCCACGCCTATGTCCTGAATGGTAATGCCTTTGTTTTTTGGGGGGTTTTTATGGTTTTAAGTCTTACATTTAAGTCTTTAATCCATCTTCAGTTAATTTTTGTATAACTAGTAAGGAAGACGTCCAGTTTCATTTTTTTGCATATGGCTATCTAGTTTTCCCAACACCATTTATTAAATAAGGAATCCTTTCCCCATTACTTGTTTTTGTCAGGTTCATCAAAGATCAGATGGTTGTAGATGTTTGATGTTATTTCTGGGGCCTCTGTTCTGTTCCATTTGTCAATATATCTGTTTTGGTACCAGTACCATACTGTCTTGGTTACTGTGGCCTTTTAGTATAGTTTGAAGATAGCTAGTGTGATGCCTCCACTTTTGTTCTTTTTGCTTAGGATTGTCTTGTCTATGCAGGATCTTTTTTGATTCCATATGAAATTTAAAGTAGTTTTTTTTCTAATTATGTAAAGAAAGTCAATGGGAGCTTGATGGGGATAACACTGAATTTATAAATTACTTTGGGCAGTATGGCCATTTTCACAATATTGATTCTTCCTATCCATGAGCACGGATTGTTTTTCATTTGTTTGTGTCCTCTCTTATTTCCTTGAGCAGTGGTTTGTAGATCTCCTTGAAGAAGTCCTTCCCATCCCTTTTAAGTTGGATTCCTAGGTATTTTATTCTCTTTGTAACAATTGTGAATGAGAGTTCATGCATGATTTGGCTCTCTGTTTGTCTATTATTGTGTATAGGAATTCTTGTGATTTTTGAACACTGATTTTGTATACTGAGACTTTTTTGAAGTTGCATATTGGTTTAAGGAGATTTTGGGCTGAGACGATGGGGTTTTCTAAATATACAATCATGTCAGCTGCAAACAGAGACAACTTGAGTTCCTCTTCCTATTTGATTACGCTTTGTTTCTTTCTCTTGACTGATTGCCCTGGCCAGAACTTCCAATACTATATTGAATAGGAGTGATGAGAGAGGGTATTCTTGTTTTGTGCAGATTTTCAAAAGGAATGTTTCAAGTTTTTTCCCATTCAGTATATTGGCTGTGCGTTTGTCATAAATAGCTCTTAATATGTTGAGATAAGTTCCATCAATACATAATTCATTGAGAGTTTTTACCATGAAGAGGTGTTGAATTTTGCTGAAGGCCTTTTTTGCATCTATTGAGATAATCATGTGGTTTTTGTCATTAGTTCTGTTTATGTGATGGAATACATTTATTGATTTGCATATGTTGAACAAGCTTTGCATCCGAGGGATTAAGCTGACTAGATCGTGGTGGATAAGCTTTTTGATGTGCTGCTGGATTCGGTTTGCCAGTATTTTATTGAGGATTTTCGCATCGATATTCATCAGGGATACGGGCCTGAAATTTTCTTTTTCTGGTGTGTCTTTGCCAAGTTTTGGTTTCAGGATGATGCTGGATGCATAAAATGAGTTAAGGAGGAGTACCTCTTTTCTATTGTTTGAAATAGTTTCAGAAGGAATGGTACCAGCTCCTCTTTGTACCTTTGGTAGAATTCGGCTGTGAATCCTTCTGGTTCTGGACTTCTTTTGGTTGGTAGGCTATTAGTTACTGCCTCAATTTTAGAACTTGTTATTGGCATATTCAGGCATTCGACTTCTTACTGGTTTGGACTTGGGAGGGTATATGTGTCCAGGAATTTATCCATTTCGTCTAGATTTTCTAGTTAATTTGTAAAGAGTTTTTTATAATATTCTCTAATGGTAATTTTTATTTCTGTGGATCAATGGTTATATCCCCTTTATCATTTCCTATTGCATGTATTTGATTCTTCTCTTCTTCCTTATTACTCTGGCTAGCAGTTTATTTATTTCTTGATCTTTTCAAAAAAACAGCTCCTGGATTCGTTGATTTTTTGGACGGGCTTTTTGTGTGTCTATCTCCTTCAGTTCTGCTGTGATCTTAATTATTTCTTGTCTTCTGCTAGCTTTTGAATTTGTTTGCTCTTGCTTCCCTAGATTTTTAATTGTGATATTATGATGCCGATTTTAGACCTTTTCTGCTTTCTCTTGTGGGCATTTAGTGCCATAAATTTCCCTTTGCACACTACTTTAGCTGTGTCATATTTTAATTTTTAAGCCCTCAATCTTTCTTTTTCATCATGACAGTCTTGACTGTTTTATGTTTATGAAAACTGTAAAATTGTCTACACAGTTTTTACAAAGACTTTACCAAAATATTTTATTGAGAATGTACAAACCTGTCAGTCAATTAGGGGAGAAGTTGCATTGTAGTAATAAATAGCCACAAAACAAAACCCTGAAGGACATCCAAACCAGAATAAAACAAAACATTTTAACAAAGAGAAAAAGAACAATCTCGCAACAAATATGTGCAGTTTATATCACAAAGATGTTCACATCTCCACTTTAAAGAGAGCTTTTAGAAGTTGATTTAAAATATGGGAAAAGACATTATCCCACACCACAGAAAAAATAAATTTAAGCAGCTCTTAACACATGAACGTATTATCAAGCTCAGATGGAATCAAAATTAAATATTTGACAACAGATTCTACAGTTTGAGAGAAATAGAAAAGTGTTTTTTTCTTTTCTCCAGGTCCACAAGTCTAGTTTCTTGGACTCTCTCACTATAATGGAGGTTGTCATCAGCTCCCCAAAATAAGGGAAGCACAGAGCAGATGGTGGCTGAAGGTGGGGAATCCTGTGAAATCATATTTAAGATCATAGCCCGTGGTCCATTGTATTGTAATCAGCTGGCTCAGGAAAGAAGATCTGGATCTCCTGAGCTCTACACCTACTGCAATGGATATGTCAGGAGTCCCGAGAACCTCTGGGGCCCAAACCCCTCCCACCAAAATATATCATCCAGTATTGAGGACTCTGACACCAAATTCTCACAGAGCATATGCTTATGCAATTTTACATTTAATTTCTCATTACATTACAATTGGGAAAATGAGGCCCCAAAAGAGGCAGGGACTGATCCAGATCTCAGGAGGTGGGCAGGCTCCAGAGCATTAGAGAGAGCTCCAGCTTCCTAGGCCTTGGCTCCATCCCACCTATCAGGTTTGCTTTGGAAGTTAGAGCCTGTAGCTTCACATTCAGGGGCACAGAGAATGAGCAGATCCAGGGTTCTGTTCACATGGGGACCTCTCCATGTCAATTTCAAGATGACAGGACTGGGGTTTTGCATCCAGCTCTGAGGGCACCTGGAAGTAAAATGAGCTATGCTCCACCTCAGCCTAATGTAGAGAATGCCTGCAGGAAAGCCTGTTTTCTTCCTCATAAATAGGGCTGTTTGAACTGGGTGACCTCGACGATTTCACATACTCATAAGTGTCTTCCAGCCCTGATTCTTGCTCTGAGACTGTGCAGAAATGCATCCACTCTCTGTAGGTCCTTCAAATCAGAGGGAGGCATGGCCACTTCAGAGGCATCTTGGGTAGATGAAGATGAGACGGAGCTAAATGTTCCAGAGCATTGGACTCTGAGGCTGAAGTCCACGGAAAATCCCAGCTCCTGTTGGGTTCTTAAGGTCCTCATTTGAAAGTGGTAGAAACTAATTTCACTGGATAAGGGGAGGATATCTCATGGATAAATAGCACAACCCAAAAGGTAGAGGCAAATAGAAGGCAAAGGGGGATTCCAAGGTCACTCATTGTACTTGGGGCCTTCAGATTCTGCTACTTTATCCCCTAGGACCTTGAAGAACCAGTGTCTTGAGGACAGAAAAATCAAGATACCTGATTTGTTCCATAGTGCTCCTGCATTGGGCCATAGAGTTAGTGATGGCCTGGAGGTGGTTACAGCCAGCTCTGTTTCTGGTGCCCACTGAGCTTTGCTGGAGCAGCTGGAACAAGTAAGAGTCACACATCTCATGTTGTTATCAATGATCTCCACATTATCAGGTGGTCAAAAGAGGAAGGGATATTAGAGATCCTCCATATAATCACTTAGCCAGTCTTTTTTCCCTTGCGCTCACCCTTTGCCAGCTAACCAGGTGGGTGCAACGTGGTACAGAAAATTATTACATGATGCCTGCACCCCCCAACCCAGGACCAAACATTCTGAGGACAGCTGGATAAAAGCACTAAAGCAAGTATATGTGAAAGAAAAGAGGAAGGACTATAATATAAAGTGGAATGTTGAGAAGAAAAGCTGGAAAATTATTGCATGGGAGGAACTAAGGCCTCATTGTGGTGATGTTTAATCCATGATAAGGATGACAACAGGGAGACATCTCTGCACAAGTATGTGTCAGGGAGAAGCCACCCTTAGTGAAGAGACTCATAGGTGTGAGTTCGGCAGAGGTTAGAAAGTTTGGCTGCAGACAGCCTGAGGAAGATATAAGTAGAGGGATGGAGAATCCTAGGGCCTGGGAGATGAGGTTAGATATCTGCTCCTTTCTGACAACATTGCCCTAAAAGTCAGCACTTTTCAACAACATATAATATCTCATAATTTATGTGGACCAGAATCTGGACACAGTTCAGTTGGGTACCTCTGCCTTTAGGTCTTTTATGACATTGGGACTGTGGTCTTAACTGAAGCTGGACTGGGAAAGCATGAGCCTTTAAGCTGACTCATGTGAAAATTGGCAGGGTTTAGTGTGGCTGGAGAGCCTGACTTTCCTTCTCTCTACTGGTCTGAGCACCCCCTCAGGCTCTGTTATGTTGGTCTTTACATGGAGCATCTCATAGCATTGAAGCTTGCTTCCTGTGTTTGAGGTATACAATAGAGAGAGAGAATTAGACAAAAAGGTGTACACAAAAAGAGACAGAGAAAGATTGAGGGCGCAAACAGGAAAAACCCAGTAGGAGAAAAATGAGAGCTTTAGAAAAATCTTGACAGGGTGCGGTGGCTCACACCTGTAATCCCAACACTTTGGGATGCTGAGACGGGTGGATCACCTGAGGTCAGGGGTTTGAAAGCAGCCTGGACAATATGGTGAAACCACCGTCTCTTCTAAAAGTACAAAATGAGCAAGGTGTGGTGGTGCATGCCTGTAATCCCAGCTACTTGGGAGACTGACGCAGGGGAATCATTTGAACCTGGGAGGCGAAGGTTCCAGCAAGCCGAGATCACACCACTGCACTCCTGCCTGGGATACAAGAGTGAAACTGTCTCAAAAAAAAAAAAAAGGAAACAAAAATCTTGAGAGTTCCAATAATTTTTCTCCTGTATTTATGTTAAAATTGTAACCCCCGTTGTAATGCTATACGGATGAAAGATGTACTTAACTCCTGAGGGTGGGACCTTCATAATAGAGATTACTGGCTTTATACAAGGAACCGCAGAGGGCTCTCTTCCTCCTTCTGCAAAATGATGGTAAAACTTGAAGTCTGCAGTCTGAAATTCAGAAGCGAGTCATCACCAGAGCTCAACCGTGCTGACAACCTGATCTCAAATTTCGAACCTATAGAAGTATGAGAAATTAAGTCCTGTTGTCTATAAGCTGCTTATCTATGGTTCTTTGGCATAGCAGCCTGAACTAATACAAAAGTGATATCCTTTTCTGTATTTCATTGGACAGAAGCTGAATTTGTACCCCTATGCTGTTAAAAAAATGACTTAAAATGGATTTTCAGAATGAAAGATAGGAAATGGCTTGTTGAAACACTAAAATGTTATCTGCTTATAAGATTTTTAAACATTGGCTGAAATTGTTGGAACTGATATGGCCAAATGAAGTCCATGAAGAATCAGATTGCATATGTTAGAGCCCAAATTTCCATTGTGTGTTTCATACTAACTCTCCCTGAATTTGCATGTGACTTGAGAGGAAGCAAGAAGAGATGACAGTATATGTCTCATGACTTTCCATATTCCTACTTTCCTTCCAGCAATCCCTTACAGAACCCACCTCTTAGGCCTTTTCTAATCACTGCCTTAAAGCCAGTATAAGAAAACAAATTTCAGCTGGACTGCTATCTCCTTTTTGGCCAACCTACAACATGATATTTTCCTCAAAACCCAAGGGCCATATTACTGTCATCAGGCTGTAGGCCATTTTATTCAATAAAAAACTGAGTCACTAACCACCTAGTACTGTGAGATTTTGTGAAGAGTTTCCCTGTCATAGACGTGAGAAGGCACATGGATATGATTCTAAATATAAAGAGAAAGCACTAGAAAGTTGAATGGCTGTATTAGGACTTTGTCATACTGCAATGATGAAGTACTTGAGACTGGGTAATTGATAAAGAAAAGAAGTTTAATTGACTCACAGTTCCACATAATTGGGAGGGCACCTCAGAAACCTTCCAATTACAGTGGCTGACAAGTGAAGTGAGTGAGAGCATGGGATGTACCAGATGCTTATGAAACTATCAGATCTCATGAGAACTCACTATCACAAGAACAGCATGAGGAGAACCCGTCCCCATAATCCAATCATCTCCCCTCAGGTTTCTCCCTTAACACCTGGGGGTTACAATACACAGAGAAGTTTGGGTGGAACACACAGCTAAACTATATGAATGCCAGAGGACAGTATCTACATTTAATTTCAACTTCATACTGGAGCAGAATGAAAATGAAGCGCAGTGGAGAAGTGACATTCCCAAGATCACCCTGCCAGACCCAGGCTTGTTTGAGTTGTGGCCCATGCTACCTTCTACATATTCTCCTAATGCTTCCATCTCTAAGTGTGTGCATTATCTACAGGTAACACCACATGATTTTTATGTTTTATCTTATATACATCTAATACAATCCCTAGGAAGTAGATGTTAGCATCATCCCCACTGTGCATGCTTGGAGGCTGGGGAAGCCTCAAATACACAGTGACTTTTATTGGGTCCCAGAGATGGTAAGAAAAACAAGGTTATGTTCCAGCTGTCTCTTATATCCTGGAACCCAGGCTGCATTTAGTTCTTTCCAGGGAATTAAGGGGAAGTTGTGTTTGCATACTTGTGTACAAATGAAGAGTTGACATGGAAGAGGAGACTGAGCAATTAGTAGCATAGTGGGGCTTTTGGGTAGGTCTTACAGAAAGAAGGGACCCAGTAGATGGAACCTTGAAGAGTTTAACACACTTTCTTGGTGACAACCCAACATCAGTTAAGAAACCAGGAACCCACATTCTTGAGACAGCTCTGTATCCACCTCTGTTAGTGAGAGATGCTCAAGAGAGTGAGATGTTCTTTCATTGTGCCCTGAAATTTCTGAGTTTTGACTTTACAAAGGCTCAGTGTAAAAGCCTTATCTGAAAACACGGATGTCAACTCAGGCCTCATCATTGATGCCCCTGGCTATTGGCTGGGTGCACCTACAAATAACACAGGGCAGCTCAGGACAGGCCCCAGAGCCAGGCCTCTCTTGTCAACTCATCTGGGAAGTCCCACACCATTTCTTAGTACCATGAGTTGTATGGGGAGCAAGAGGGAGGGCACTCTTCTTTTACTGAAGCAGATTGTCAGGTGTTGGAACCCTTGTGTACCTGTCATGTTCATACCTAGGCCATAGCTGGCAGAATAAAAAGAAGAGGGTTGGAGAACGAGTCTGTGTACTCAGATGTGAATTCCAAGACTTTAACTTGTCCTCTGGTTTCCTTCCTTGCTGGAGATTCATACAGATTCTCCTTATGTGCCTAATCTGAAGAGCAGAATTTCTTTTCTTTTCTTTTCTCTTTTATTTTCTTTCTTTCTTTCTTTCTTTCTTTCTTTCTTTCTTTCTTTCTTTCTTTCTTTCTTTCTTCTTTCTTTCTTTCTTTCTTCTTTCTTTCTTTCTTTCTTCTTTCTTTCTTTCTCTTTCTTTCTTTCTTCTTTTTTTCTCTTTCTTTCTTTCTTTTTCTTTCTTTCTTCTTCCTTACTTCCTTCTGTCTTTCTTTCTCTCTTTTTCTTTTTCTTTTTTCCTTTTTGAGGAAGCCTCGCTCTGTCACCCAGGCTGGAGTGCAGAGAAAAGCAGAATTTCTAGTGGAGGTGTCACATACGGTGAAAACAAGGCAGACCACTGACTTTTCTTTGCGTGGTTTCTAGGCACTTTTTACAGAGCTGCATTCAGATTGATGAGGAGCTTCTTGATGTGGCCAACTCCTCCCTCTTTTTGGAAAAAGACCAGGTGCACTAAGCCAGCAACCACAGCCAGCACCGGGCTGTGGTAAGAGCAGCCACATAGGGGTCTCTACAGACAGAAACCCGAGAAGACCGGGACAGACCCAGTACCCAGACTCCAGTATGAAAACTCTCTGGGCTGTGTCCTATGATCTTCCCATGAGTAACTCATAGTCTTGATCCAGTGGAATCTGGCCTTCATTAGTCTCAGTGGCAAGTTGGTTATGTGGAAAGTCTCTGTTCACTCACTTGGGTGAATAACAGTAAAGACCTTTCTATTGTTTTCACTTTACATTAGGCCATGAGTATTTGTGCCTGTAGCTGCAGTTTGTGTTAGTTTCCTACCCCAGGTATCTCCTGCAGCATGCAGCTTCAGTCCTACCAGACCCTCAAAACTTAAAAGCGAACACTATTTCTAGGGAGGATTTTGCAGGAAAATGGAGAAAGGGTTACACACAAAAAAGGTTAAACTACTCTATGCATGTTTCTGCAATGTGTTATCTCAAGAATTCATCTCTGTAGCCCATCAGGGCAGGAGCTGGTCTCTCACCTGTTGATAATATTCCATAAGGGAGGTTCTTCCCCACAGTGTTTAGTCTTCCAACGCTGGTATAGCCTGACATGATGACATTCTACTTTCATGTTGGTCATGCTGCAGGGAGAATTCTGTGAGTGTCCTAATAGGCTGGAATCACTTGCTAAGGTGAACCCCATCTTTGGTGCTCACTTTTCTGTTATCTTATAATTAGCTTTATTCTAAGCAAATCCATGTCTATTTTATTTATCTGTTTATTAACTTATTTTTATGTATGGAAAAACACATTTTTTTATTTGCTTATTTATTTAGAGACAGGGTCTCCCTCTGTCATCCAGGCTGGAATACAGTGGTAGATTGGAGTGATCATGGCTCATTGCAGCCTCAAACTCTTGAGCTCAAATGATTCTCTCACCTCAGCCTCCTGTGCCACCATGCCCTGCTAGTTGATTTTAATTTGTTATAAAGAAAGTGTCTCATTATGCTGCCCAGGCTGGTCTCAAACTCCTGGGCCCAAGCAATTCTCTCATCTCAGCCTCCCAAAGCACTAGGATTAAAAACATGAGCCACTGTACTGCGCTGTGCCTACTTCAAAGGACTGAAAATAAAAAATAAATAAATCTTTGCCAAATTAAAAAACAAAGCAATAGTTTCCAGGTCTTAGATAAAGACAATTCTCTGTCATGAAGAATGACAGAAGGCTTATTTAGCTGTTAAAATGATTTGCTTATATTTCAAAGAAGCAGAGAAAAAAAGGTACATGTAAAAGTGTTCCAGGCCACTCATGGTGGTTCATGCCTGTAATCTGAACATTTGGGGAGGCCAAGGCATGAGGATACCTTCAAGCCAAATGTTTGAGTCCAGTACAGGCAATATGGTGAAATTCTGTCACTACAAAAAAATAAAATAAATATGGCTGGGCATGTTGGCTCACACCTGTAATCCCAGCACTTTGGGAGTCTGAGGCAGGTGGATAATGAGGTCAGGGGGTGGAGACCAGCCTGGCCAAAATGGTAAAACCCATTCTCTACTAAAAATAATAATAACAAAAAATTAGCCAGACATGGTGGTGTGCGCCTGTAATCCCAGCTACTCAAAAGGCTGAGACAGGAGAATTGCTTGAACCTGGGAGGTGGAGGTTGCATTGAGACAAGATCATGGCACTACACTCCAGCCTAGCCCACAGAGCAAGACACTGTCTTGAAAAAAAATAAAAACAAAAATAAATAAAGCTAGCCAGGCATGGTGGTTCATGCCTATAGTCCTAGGTAATTAAGCGGTTGATGCAGGAGGACTGCTCAAACCCAAGAGGTTAAGGTTACCGTGAGCTATGATTATGCCGTTGCACTTCAGGCTAAGTAAAAGAGTAAGATTCTGCCTCAAAAAATTACTAATTAAAGTTTTCCAGATTACATTGTTTAAGAAAAAGGAAAAGAAAAAAATCTTTTTTTTATTTTCAAATGGGAGAATAGAGCCTCTCATTTCTAATTTGTATTGCCTTCTGCAAAAACTTAGTCTAGGCCCATGGTCTTGAACTACTGGACATCTGAATTTTGGTAGGTGCTGGATTCAGGCAACTGAGGGGTGGCCTTGGGCACACTGTGTGCACATAAAAGAAAGGGTTTGAGGTGAACTAAAAGGTAAAAGAGGGGAAGGTGCTATTAAGAAACCAGAAGTGAGAGACTGTACAGGGTTGGTGGGAGGACTGGTTCATGCTACAGACACTGACCCAGGTGAAACTTTTCTCTGAGTTATTTCTATGTTCATGCAGGAAGACGAGATTATGATCAGGTGGCACAGAAATCTGCGATGGTGAAAAAACCAGGTTGCCACTGCAGATTCGGTGTCTGAAGTAGAACATATGCCAGGGGTCTTGTAGGCACGTGTGTGGGTTTTTGGTGGGAAAGTCTATGAGGAAAGGTAGGATGGGCAACAATCTTGATGCCAAAGCCTTGTCCTGAGAGGGGCTTGACCACGTCAACATGCAGTGTGTATGTTCAGTGGGTGAAAAACATGTGGTGGCTTCAAGTTGGCAGGAGGGTAGAAGGCATCTGTTCTCAGAACTTCTTCCCTCAGAGTCGTCGGTCCTTCTTACCATGGGAGGATGCCTGGAACCACAGGGCAGTGCATGGCGTAGCAGCCTGTGTGCAGAGCAGAGCCTACCTTCCCCGAGACACCTGGAGTCTCTCTCCAGCAAAGGCCCCCACATTGTCTTTCTCCTTACAACACTTTTGATCCTAAATGTGTAAAGTTCCCTGAAAACCCACTGCTTCTTCAACACCCATTTCTTGCCCCAAAATTTAATTCTGACACAACTTAGAGTTCGCACAGATCCCACAAATTCAGGGCTAAGTCCCACATCACCCCTCTCACTGCAGAGGTTAGTCACATGTCCCATAAGCCCATCTATACTTCTGAGCTACTGCCTATAAATCTGAGACTCCCATAAACCCCTTTTCAAGTTAAATAATTTGATAGAGTTACTCAAAAAAACTCAACAAATAAGTCTAATTATATTTACCACTTTATTATAAAAATACAACTCAGAAACTGACAAATGAAAGAGATGTCTAGGAAAAGGAACAGTTGTGGGTGAAGGTAATCCTGGAAATAGCTATATTTAAAGAAATTCCCCCATTCTTTGTGTTCTCAAAGAACAGCTTAGTGAAGAGAAACGTGCTTCCCATTATGACTTTGTGGATGTTCCCCCCCCCCCTTTTTTTTAACCTATCACAAAGACGGACACAGATTACAAATTCCTATTTTTAAAAATGAACAACCATTCTGTAATTTAGTCTTCAGTGGTCAAAACAGAGTACTTGTTAACAAAACTTTGCTTGTTCCCCTTCTTCCCTCAGCCCCTGAACTTTGACTCACCCACAGCCTCAGAGAACCTACAACCCATATTTATACATATCCCTCCTAAGAACAGGCTGACTTCAAGATGAAACATTATCTTATCTGGGATCTGATTTTGCTACCCTCCATCCTGTGCTTCCTTTCCAACCTTCTTTGTAAACTTATTTTCTCCTCCCTATGAAATAAAACCCTTTTCCACCTAACCTTTGAGATCCTCAAAGATCTAATCATTTGTACTTTTTCCTTGTTACAACACTTCTTAAGTAACTTCTTAGACAAAGTCTATAAACAGTCTCAGGACAATAACAACTCCATTCTAGAAAGAATATCCCAACTTTTCTTCAATCTCAACCCCAACTGCATCTGCCTGTCAACTTCCAGCTTACCAAAGCTCTGTATCTTCTGACAGTGACAAAGGCTCCTTCTATGGTTGGTGTGAGCAGACTTTGATGTCTGCAGGGCAGACACCCAGGAATAATCAACTGGGCCTTCAGTGGCCCCCTTTTGCAGGGTCAACGTTAGCCTTAGCTTTTAGTCAACGGTCTAAGACTTCTACTTACCAGTTAAAGTCATTCAATTAGTTTTCAATTTAAAAAATACTTCATGTTTGAAGAATCCAGCAAAAATCATTCAAATCTAAGGTTTAAAAGAGAGGAAATTATGGTCGGGCATGGTGGCTCATGCCTGTAATCCCTGCATTTTGGGAGGCTGAGGCGGGCAGATTACCTGAGGTCAGGAGTTCGAGACCAGCCTCACTAACATGAAGAAACACAGTCTCTACTAAAAATACAAACTTAAACGGGGGTGGTCGTGTATTCCTGTAATCCCAGTTACTTGGGAGGCCGAGGCAGGAGAATTGCTTGAACCCGGGAGGTGGAGGTTACAGTGAGCCAATATCGTGCCATTGCACTCCAGACTGGGCAACAAGAGTGACACTAAGTCTAAAAAATAAAATTAAAATTAAAAAAGAAAGTTATAAGGGGCTTACATTTTATAACTCAACAAGAAAAGCCAAAGTATCTATCCCTTTCAGAAAATAAACATGTAATTTAATTATGTTCATAACAAATCATTTAGTAAACAATCATATGTGAACACTTCCAGGCGGTGCCAAGTCCCAGCTCCTAAAACTTAGCGTTACCCTCAAACACCCAGATGACAGCATATGGAACAGAGATACTCACTATCAGAAGTTCTCTGTTTTGAAAAAAGAATAACTGATGTGATAAATTTATGTAATTTAACAATTAATCTACCTCACGTGCTTGTAGGTATGTATTCATTTCGTACCACCGTAGTGGAAGAGAGACTATCCCTATCAATACACCTGGTAACATTCCCAACAGTAAGTCGTGAGATTCTGCTTGAAATCACCTCTCAGACAAATAAAAAACAGTCCTGGGAAATGTACGACACTCATTCTGCTAAAGAAATAGGCAAGTAACAATTTTTAACAAGTGAAATATATTACTACTTAATTTTATTCAAAATTCACCAACTTAATGTGCTTTATAAATATTTTCATGCCTTTCAAGCTCTACTGATAAAACATAGTTTACAGTTAATTAAAAAGTGAAGTTAAAGTAAGTACAAAAACATTTTCAAGGTGACAAAATTAGAAGGTGACAGTGCCGATTGAAACACAGACATATCAGACCCAAGGGTCAAGTCAAGCCATTCTATTACTTGGGATATTTTCCCCACTCACATCTGGTTCAGTGAAGTGGGTCATGACCATCCTACCAGGAGTCGCTACCCTGTGCTCCTCTGTGTCCCTGAGGTGCATTTTACTTTGCAGGTTTTTGCACTGCCTCACTAGGTTGGGTTTCTTTGTCCTTTGAAATATTTTCTCTCCCTTCACCAATCTGAGAACATTTTTTCCTCAATATCAGCATCCATTTGCCTGGCCTGCAATGTGTCTCTAAGGAATGGAAACTAAGCTTTGGGGTAAGAAAATCTTAATGACCTAATGGGTTTGCTTTTAGCGCAAGGGTATACCTAGAGATTCCTTCCAGGCACATCTCAAACAACCACTCCACAGAGAGGCTGCATTCCCATACCTTGGGCTGTTCCCTGAGAGGAGATGACACAAGGGATGCTATTTACTAGACACTTCAAGAGTCATGGCCACTGTTGGCATCTTGGGGAATCCTCAAACAGTTTTGAAATTCAAAACCAAGAAAATAACAGGATGGCTGAGGATGTATTGCCCTGTGAAGTTTCCAAAATGAAACCTGAACCCAAAGGCTTTCTGATGGGGTGTCTGTGCCAAGAGAAGTTTAAACAAAGGGGCACAAAGGTTTTCCGCTTTTTATTTATTTTTTTTACAGTGGGGTGTCAGGGGATTATTCTCTGCTTTCATCTCCTGTAAAATGTTTACAAATGAGAAAAAATTTTTTTAAATGACATCCACTGCTTTTTGACAAAAAGAAGAATTGAAATACTGTGTCTGAAATGTACAATAAAGAACAGTTGATAATGTTGTGAATTATGGAAGGTTAGTTAGTGTTGGTGAGTGTCAGGAAAGAACTGGAAATTTAAAATCTGATTGCAAGCCAGAGTTAGGCTGGGGCAACAGGGAGTTAGATTTGAGTCTCTGCCTGCCACACATTTGGAAAATGCATGAGAAAACTAGTTCCCTTTTGGAGTGTTAAAATAACTAAAAAACAGGTGATTATGTTGAGGTGGCTCTAGTGTCCTGAGCTCTGAGTGGAGAGACAGGCCAAGGCCTCCGTACTTCCAAAAAGCTGCCCATTCTTCTCCAGCTGTGCACCTGATTAGATAGTTTCCACTCCAAGACCCATGATTGGATGTAGTTCAATTCCCTACCCTGCCGCCTCAGACCATGAGTGACATATGTGATTTGACACTGGGTTGAATAAAGCAAGAATTATAGGTTTTTCCTGGATCCTTTTCTGGCAGGGCTTCCTCTGTGAACTAGAAACTGGCCCTGCCTGTAAAATATTTGCATTTACATTTGTATGTAAGATTATTTGTATTAATGAATAATATATATGTGTTATTCATATATGGAATCAATATAATGACAATTGTTTTAAAATTTCAGATGTTTTACTTTCCTGGCACATCCAGGTTTTAGAGCAGGCAGCCTGAGATTTCAAAAGGGAGGCAATTCTCTAAGAAATAATATGAGAGGCACAAGTGAATTTTAAATATTCTGGTAACTACATTTTAATAAATATACCGGGCATGCTTCCCTGTGCCTGTAGGTCGAACTATTAGGGAGACTGAGGTGGGAGGATCACTTGAGACCAGGAGTTTGAGACCAGCCCAGGCAGCATAGAGAAAGCCATCTCTACAAAAAAAAAAAAAAAAAAAAAAAAAAAAAAAATTTGAAAAATTAGCCAGGCCTGGTGGTGCATGACTTCAGTCCCAGCTACTCAGAAGGCTGGAGCTGGAGGATCACCTGAGCCTGGGAGGTCAAGGCTGCAATGAACCATGATCACACAACTGCACTCCAGCCTGGCTGACAGAGCAAAACCCTGTCTCAAAAAACTGATCTCTGGAAAGGCAATTTGTTTTTCTGCAATGTAGCCAAGCAGCTAAGTATGTATTGAAGCCATCCTTTAATTTTTAACAGGGCAAGAAAGCTTTCTAAGACCCCGAACTCCAGATATGCGATGGGGCAAATCCTGAAGCGTACATGGCTATCTCTCACAGCTAAAGCATCCCTCACCCCTATCCAGCGCTTCTTACCCCTGGCGCAAGAGAATCACCTGCGGGGAGGAAAACTTTCAAAATCCCTTAAACCCAAGTTGTAACCGCACAACTAAATCAGAATCCTTGGAGCTGGATCTGAAAAAAATATGGTTGAAAGTCGTGCAGGTGATTACAATGTGTAGGCAAGCCAGAAAACCATGGCTTTAACGAGCAGCTTTTGTTAGAAATGATTTCTCCAATGAATGTGAAAACGTTTGCTGCTGAATTGTGACCTTTCCATTTTACCTGCTTTTCCTGCAAAGTATATTTTGCAGACCCAGGCTGGCTTCTCCTTCTGTTCCTGGTTCACCCAGTGCCGTGTGTGCTCAGTGCATCCTGTGCACGGGTCACTGTGTGCCCTGGCCTGGGTGAGCATCATTCTTCGGGGAGAACCTTGATGAAAACAAAGCTGCATTCCAAAAAGTTAAAACCATGCTACTTACTGTGTTGAAGTAAAAATTAAAAGACCCAGGGGGGCTCACCCAAAAGTTAAAACATAAATAAATAACTTGGAACATTAACATACACCTGATGATGTCCTGAGTGAACACGCCCCACTTGAAAACAAAACAAAACATTGCTATTATTCTAAAATATTAATTTAGGATTGTTATGCAAACATGCACTCTTTACATTTTTATTGATAAATAACATGCATACAGCAATATAGGCACAAAGCATTTAGGGAATGTTTGATGAATTATTACTAAATAAATACACTTGTGTATCTAAGAATCAGATTTGTTCATGCCCCTGACACTTTCCCCTTCCCAAAGGTAACCAAGACCTTAAGAGCTAAGTGTAGATAAACTTTGTCATTTTGTACAAGTGTTTTATTACAGATCACTAAAAACATACACAATACAAAAAAAGTATAACAGACCAGTCACCCAGCTTTAACAGCTGCTAGTCATGTGTCATTTTTGTTTTATCTATACTTCCAGCCATGCCCCCACCCCCAATTTCATTATTTTTTAGGCTTTTTGGATAAAATGTATATTCATTGCAAGGTACAATGCGAACTGTAAATAGTAGAGAGATGGGGTTTTACCATGTTGGTCAGGCTGTTCTTGAACTCCTGACCTCAGGTGATCCACTCTCTTCCACCTCGCAAAGTGCTGGGATTACAGGCGTGAGCCAATATACTCGGCCTGAGAATTCATATTTCTAATAAAGTACAAATCCATAGGGCACATGACAACTGCAATGTCTATCTACAGTAAAAACAGTTTGATGAATAAAATGAAAGGCAATTGACTTAAGGTGGGAAAAAAACAATCAAAGCATGGGTACTATGTGCCATCTGTAGGAGCATTTGGTTAAGAATAACAAACAAACCAGTTTTATTGTTTTAATAACCGAAATTGGCAAAATTTCTAGTTTTTCTTTCATAGGAATGCTCTTAGCAAGAAAAAATTTTCATATGGTGAGAGCAAAAATGACAACCATTTGCAAGTAAATGTCTTATGAAATTAAGTAGCAGATATCAAGCTCATGACCTTCAGATTGTTACCCCTAACTCAATCATTTACATAGCAAGTGCAGATAATTTTCATAGTTCCCCATTAAAATTATACTTTACTCCCCTTACAAATTGTGACTGTTTTTAAATAAAGTTCACTAACTAAAATTTTGTATATGACATATGATAAATTTCCCTTCAAGTCACCTTATATTTACTTAATTGTGTTAGCCAGTGTCTGTCTACCTCCCAACAATACTTTGGGATTCTCCCTCCATTTGCACAGGCATCATAGCTGGGGAACAGGGATTCAAAAGACCCAGGCTGTTCCCTACATATGTTTCCTCCTCAGACATCAGTTAATCAGTCAATCAAGTCAAGTGAGAGTGGAGGCCATGTATTCCCTCTTATTCTTGGGCACTCTCCTCCAAGGAGGAAAAGGCCAGGAGGTCCTGTTAGAGGATGCACTCTGAGAGCCCGGGCTCCCTAAGGTATGAGAGTTCTAACCAGCAGGTGTAGACTTTTCAGGAGTGAGGAATGAGGCAGGCATTCCAAACCTGGAGCTTCATCACCTTTTGTTTCATCTCAAGACAATTCTGAGGGGCTGTTTTGGAGCGTGTCTGGAAGGTGAACGTTGAAGAAGAGTGTGGGCTTTGATGTGACTCAGATGAGATCTTTCATGGGGAGGCAGGAATTCAATGCCCAGAATCTGGGCTGGTGTCTTTGAGGTCAGTAGGTTGCCTCTTTGTATCCAAGTCCATTGTTACTAAATTGGAGGCTGGAGATTCTAAATGGCTTCCAGACCATCTCTCTGATTCTCTTTGGGAGATTGGGTCTGAAAAAGACAATGTCAGTATTTTTGGGAAATTCTAGAAAGTCTGCTTGGAAACCTGGGAAGACCTCTTGCCTAGTGCCTAAATATTCAATGTGCAGCTCTAGCCATGTAGATGCTTGGTAGGTATAGAGCTGGGTTTTCATTTATATCAGCAAAACCTATGTCAGAGTTGAAGAAGTAGTCAAGACAAAGTGTCTTGGTCGCAGGCCGGGGAACATCTTAAAAGCAAACTTCTAGCCTGATGACTCTTGGCAATGAGTGTTGGGTCCTGGCTAAAGTGCCTTGAATGCAGCATGAGGCCAATCCATGAATCCAACTTCCAATGGAGAAATGTTAATATTTTTTCAGTTTGAATCAATCAGGGTGAAATTACCTTGCTATTGGTTTGCTTACTTTTTATTATTTCATATAAAATCTAAGACAAAATACATTAAATGCTTATTGATATATGTATTTATTCTTCACCTGGCTCATAATATTTGCCTAATTTTAAACTTTCTTCTATTTTGTAGGTTTCAACTTATTTCATTGTAAGATATTGTTAAATCTAATACGGGCATTGTCACTTTTACAAATAATTTTATTTTATTTCATGTATTTCCTATTCACTTTTTACATTTAAATTATGGACCATTTCATCATATAAAAAGCTCCATTTCTATTTTAAAAATAAGTCTTTGGGTTTTTTTGTCTTGTAATTTCCATATTACATAGTAATGAGATAAACGTTAATGTTTTCAGGGTATTTTAAATTTTAAATAATTACTCATTATATCCACGTGAAATTTGTTTTTACTGCATGTGTGAGTTGGAGAACCGTTTTCACTTCTGACTCATCTTTACTGTGATCTCCTCAGAACTCATACCTCTTGTAGTTGGGAGATTGCAGTATATAATTCCAATAAATGGGGCAAATTCAATAATAACATAATACAAATGAGTTTGAAAGCAGGACATGTCTTCAAAGCATACACAACATGGGCCTATATATGTACAACAATAATAATTTATAAGTTACAGTTTGGATGGGAATTAAAAGTACAGAAAATTTGTTAAAATAAATTAAAATGGAGATCACGTCTCAATAATCTCTGAGCAGACGAAATTAGTTAGGTCTCATAAGTGATCTCAACCTTGCTTGATTTGCAAATACAAGCAAAACTTAAATATTTCTTGTAGCTGCCTATTTAAAAAAGAGAAATGAAGCTCAACCAATCAGGAGTAGCCAACATCCTTATATAAATAGAAACTGTCCAACAAGATAAACAGACGAACAAAAAACAATAAAAAAGTTGTGCTACCACCAATCAAATGATTTTTTTGTTTCTACATTTTTTCAATAAATACTTGCTTCTTACTCTGTCAGAGAAGCACTAAATAACTTTTGGTCTGATATTTTATAATTTATCAATTGCTCTTACTCAAATAGACACTTGGCAATTTCATTGTGTCTCAAATTACTTTTTAGCAGAATAAAATAAACTAGGAATAAACATTACAAAAATGTGTACAGAATATGAGAAAAACATAGAAAGTTTATGAAATATATGAATGTAGACATAAGCAAATAGACAATTTGTATCATATTCTTAGGCAGCAAATCTCAATATTATCAACATCAATTGTCCTTAAGTTTATTTATAAATTCAATTTTGTTCCTATACAGATACCATTAAATATTGGAAGTACACGTTACTATAAAATATTATATAGATGAAAACACACATAAGAATAGACAAGAAAACTCTGAAAAAAAAGCAAAAAACAAGACTGGCAAGCTCTGTGAAAAATCTTGATTGATTAAAAACTCATATGTCACTGAAACTAAAAATTCAGAAATAGACCAAAGTGCCTAAGAAAGTGTCATAGTTCATCCAGGCTGCTATAACAAAATACCTCAGACTGGGTAAAGGATAAACAACAGAAATGTATTTTTCACAGTTATGGAGTCTGGAAAGTGCAAGATCAAGGCAGCAGAAAATTTAGTATATGTTGAGAGCCCTGTTCCCCATAGATGGTACCATCTTGCACACGGGACAAGGGCATTGCCTTCAACTTCCCTTGAAAGAGCACTGATTCCATTCATGAAGATGAAGAACTCTTGGCCTCACCACTTCCCCAAAGGCCACACGCCTAAAATTATCCACATAGGAATTTGCAAAGGGACATAAACATTCAGGCCATCGCAACAAAAACTACATGGGGGATGGCATCATTAATACTTGAGGTGTAAAAATGTGATGTTCTTATCGCAAAGGAAATAAATGATTTATTCTTCATGGCATATAACAAAATAAAGGTCCAAAGAAAATATTTTTTATGAAGATAAATCTATATGGTAAAAAACTAAGTGTTGATAAGGTTAACCCTACAGGTTGCATCAGGATTTTCAAGGTTTCTGGTGATGAGCAAGGCCCCAGAGTTTCCTCCTGTGACATTTACCTGGAAGTTGCTCATGCTGTTATTCAATTTGAAAGTAGATAATATTGTTTGTTTCTGTTCCAATATTTACTAAATTCAAAATAATATAGGGCTCTTTATGCGTAATTGTCAAACAGTCATTCAGTCAATGGTCCTCTGCTGAGGAAGAGCACAGATACATCCAAACACATATGATGTTCCTCAAATAGAGGACTTCTCCCTGTGCGGGAGTCACCTATGTTGCACTTGATCAGAGGCTTTCCCAGGCGAGCATTTCTCTGCAGCCCTACCACAGACTTAACCCTGGAAATCTGACTCAGAAGGTGATAGATGAACACCCAACCTAGCATTCTAATCTAATGGATCCTCTCTTAATAATCCCTTCCAGGGATCTGGGAGCTTTCCTGGATTCGTCTGCCACACACAGCTAGGCTAAAACATTTGGATAGAAGCTTTGATCCTCACTGGCCCTCCTGCCCTGTTCTACCAGCTTCTCTAGAAGTATGCTTCTCTAATTGATCCTGAGAGACCCATCTAAGGCTATCTCTCTGTGCCAATATAATTGATCTCATAAAGTGGGAAGAGAAACAGGCAAGAGTCCAGCTATGCTAGAAGCTGTGTCTAGGGTTCCTTATCTGCTTTATGTCTCTGATTTACCTAAATATTGACAAATACAGATTAATCTCTAGGTAGTAGAAAAACAGAAGGAGAAATCGCAGTTCACAGAAGAAGAAGAAAATGCAATCAGTAATTCCTAGAGTCCCGCTTAAGCTCAGCCACAGGGTACTAAGTCTCTTCAGGAAAAAGCAATGGTTGTCCATCATCTGAAAAACTGTGGCGTTGAACCATGGGCACCGAGAGTGCACACTGCCCACTAGAGTTCCATGCCTACATCACAGAGAGATAGAATAGTCTCAAAGGATTCTTAAGAGTAACGTGGAGACCAAAAGGAGCTGAATCCACAGCCTCTGTCTTACCGTCTGTTCTAATAGTATTTCCAGACTCTTTTGTGGGCTGCACCAGGGGTTATTCAGAAAGAAAAAAAGTTGTTAATGTCCCACCATTCCCCGTAGCTTCCGAGGTCTAAGTTGTTCATTTCCCACGTTCCAGGTTGTTGTTCTCCCTCTATCTCTACAGAATCAGTGTGTCTCATTCCGATATCTATAATCTCACCTTTATTCTAGTCGCCCTTTACTTTTTTCTAGACATTTTGTGTAGTAGAGCCAGGTAAAACAGATACAAGAATATTTACATAAAACTTAACCAGAACTAAGTTGGAGTCCCATAACTGCTGCTAGGCTGGGATGCAACTCAGAGGATACAAAAGCCAGGCTGGTCTAGAATTGCAGGTATGGGAAAGAAAGACATTTCACCCAGGAATTATTAGCACGAAATTCCAAATTTGTGAAATAGATTCCTAGATCCCCCAAACATTTCATCCTTATCTTGGAGGCAATCTGGAAGAGATAATCCCCTTTCAGAGAAAAGCATACCTAATCAACGAATTATCTAACCAACATGTGTGGAAAAGGAGGGA
The DNA here is from genome assembly GCF_000001405.40 of Homo sapiens. Taxonomy (NCBI): domain Eukaryota; kingdom Metazoa; phylum Chordata; class Mammalia; order Primates; family Hominidae; genus Homo; species Homo sapiens. The sequence continues at coordinate 6,363,062 of NC_000021.9, forward strand.
ACATCGTAGAGTTGGCCCATTTTAGTCGATGTGGTGAAAAATGCCACGAAGTCAGAGCTCAATTGACCTCAAAAGCCTAAAAGGTGGCACAGATTAGCTTCAAGGGACACATGGTATGGCTGGAGTCAGATGACTGTTATGCTGAAGAAGTCAACAGTGGTGACTGATATCTCAAGAAGTGGGCTAAAAGTCCACTTCTGGTTACTCTGCTAGGTATGGTCTAGGAATTCTTCAACCATGAGACAGATAGGTCAACTTTCACCAGCAACCCCAAGTCTGGTTTGCAGTATTAGACTCTGGGTTGGACACAGATTTAGGTTCAATCTGCAGCTTGATTGTGGTCACTCTCTGGAAAACACTTACCATGGACTTCTAGATGAGTGACCCAGTTAGATCAGCATCTGGGGTTGTTTCCGGTTTGCAGCCCAAAAGATATTCAGACAGTCTACACTTTCCATTGTAGATAACCAAACAGATAGAATATGTGCCATTATCCCAAACCCTGAGTTCTGACCTTTGAGAGGAGCAACCACTCATGTCAGGTTCTGTATGGCTGGCACAGGTTAAACAGCCACAGCGGCCCAGTGGACATCATGAGGTTTCACCTTCCCTGACTCATCTATGAACCAGGACCAGTCATATAGGAAACACTCAGTAAATTGGGGGCCCCACAGAGACAGCAGCTTTGCTTCAGAGGATAGAAGGAGGCACAAAATTTCAACCAGCTGGGGATGCCCTAGCCCTCTATAGGTCAAACTTAGTTTGTCAGGAGTTCTGTAGCAAGCTCTTTGCTGACTTTCAAATCAGTGTAACCAGTAGTGTGTCACTGAGTCCAAAAGGCCAAAGAACACCTCTAGGTGGAAGCTAATCCTTTACTGGAGGCTCCAAATTTTAAAATCAAGATTTTCTTGACCTCAGGATGAACTGATCAATGCAAATCTCCCCAAATATTTTCACTAATCCTTAATTGGAAAGTAAGACTCCAGATTTTTTAACCTTCACTAAAAATAAATATCTGATTTTTTTTCACCTGGGATCTATGTATGTGTGTTGGAGCATGCCTTTACTAATCAGCATAAAGTTACAACTCTCCTTGTGCCTCTATTTTCTACTTGTGCAGAGTTTAAAGTACACAGGTGACAGCTTAGGGTTTTCTGGGTCTTTTGCTAAGCATGTACCTGACCCTGAGCATCCCCATTTCCCCATTTCTTTGTTGATCTCAAAGACCATTATCACAGTCCTAATTCCCAGGAGCTTTTCCTCCTAGAGCTTTTTGGCATGATTATTCTTAGACCCAACTGATATCCTTTGTTCCTGGTGAACTGGTAGCTTATTTCCATTTAAATGCTTTTACAAACATTAAGCTATTGATTTAAGATTTCTGTGCTTTTTAAATTAAGTAATGCTACTGTTAGCTTTCCACAGCAATTCAGGGTTATAAAAAAGGGAAGAAAATAATTATTTTATACCAATAGTAGGAAAAAGAGACTGGGGATGACTATATTAATAGCAGACAAAATAGACTTAAAAAGTTACAAGAGACAATAAGACATTATATAATCATAGAACGTGCATTTGGCAAGAAGATAGAAATAGTTTAAACACTTACATACCTAATAATAAAACATTTAGATATAGAAAGACTAAGTTGACAGAATTAAAGGGACAAATAGACAGTTCTAAAATAATAGTTGAAGATGTTAATACTCCACTCTGAGTAATGAATAGAAAAATGAGATGAATGACAAATTAGGAAATAGAGGACTTGACTAACTCAATGAACTAAATTGATCTAACAGATATATACAATATACTTCATCCAACAAAACAGAGTACACACTCTTCTCAAATGCACATGGGGAATTCTCCAGGATGGGCTGTATAGTAGATCTCAAATTAAATCAATAACAGATGAAATGCTAGAAAGTTTACAAAATTGTATAAATTAAACAACTACACAATTACAACTTAAAGAATTACAAAATTGTATAAATTAAGTAAAGGAAGAAATCACGGAAGAAGTAGGAACATACAGAGGAAGAAAAATGAAAACAAAACATATCAAAAGTTATGGGAAACAGCAAAAACAGTGTTAAGATGAAAAGTTTGCAGCTAAGATACATTTAAAAAGAGCAAAGATTTCAAATAAATAATAACTTTATCACCTAGTAAATTAGAAAAATAACACCAAATTAGATGCAAAACAAAGAGAAAGAAGAAAGTATTGAAGATTTTAGCAGAGATAAATGCAATAGAGATTACACAAACAACAGAATTCCAAAAAACCAAAAGTTCACTCTCAGTTCTTCAAAAAATTAACAATTGGCAAAACTTCAGCTACACACACGAAAAATTAACAGCATATTCACATACTAAAATGAGTAATGAAAGTGGGACATTACTACTAATTCAAAGAAATAAAATGTTTAAAAAAGTGTACTGTGAACTATGATAGGATGATAAATTGGAAAACCTAGATAAAGTGGGCAGATTCCTACTTATGCAAGACTTGATTACAAAGAAATACAAAATCTGAATAGATAGAAAACTACTAAGGAAATGGAATCAGTAATTAAAAACCTCTCATGAAGAAAAGCCCTTGTTTTGTTGGCTTCACTGGTGATGTAGATCAAGCATTTATAGAACAAAAATCCTTTCCAAAATCTACCAAAAGCCTGAAGAGAGCAGTTCCAAACTTATTCCATGATGCCAGCATTAGCTCATACCAAAGCCAAAGAGACTACAAAAACCCATAGACTAATATCCCTTATGAACACGGATGCAAAACTACTCAGCAACATCCTAGCTAACCACATTCAGCAGCATACTAGCAAGATTACACCCCATGACCAAGGGGAATTTATTACTGGAATGTAAGGAAGATTTAGCGTATGGCTGGTTTCAGTGCAATGGTGTTTACAACTAATTGATCACAACCAGAATAGATTTCTTTATTCTTTTTCCAGTCTCACTGGTTCACTTAGCTAGCCTTTCTTAACAAAAGTTTTAGCATATGAAAAATAATCAATGCATATGACACATTAACAAAATTTTTAGAAAACATTATCTCATTAATACAGAAAATGTATTTTACAAAATTCAAAATATTTTATAATAAAAACAATAAATTACGAATAAAAGAAAACCATCTTTGTAAAATTCACGTATAAAAACCCACAGCAAACTACATGTTCTAGAGGAAAAGACCAAAATTATTTCGTCTAAGCTCAGAAGACAGAATGTCTGCTCTTGCCAGCCACTTTTATTCAACACTGTATTAGAAGTTTCATTCAGAGAAATTAAAAAAGACAATGAAATAAACTTCATCAAAGTGTGTACAGAAAATATATTCTTTTATGTAGAAAATCTTAAAGATTCCACACAAAAAATATTAAAATTAATAAATTCAGCAGAGTAGTAGCATACAAAATCAACATAGAAAAATAAACTGTATTTTATGTAGTAATACGAATGATCTGAGAAGAAAATTATGAAAACAACTCAATTTACAATAGCATCAAAAGAATAAAATTAGGAAGTAACCAAGAAGCAAAATGCCAATTATTTTGTGTAGATATTAAAAAATCAATTTTTAAGTTTATGAGGAATCTCAAGGGACCCTAAATTGCAAAAATAATTTTGAAAAAAAAATACCAAAGTTAGAGAAGTCACACTTAATGATTTCAAAACTTACTACAAAATTCCAAAATAGCATGCTACAAATAGACTAATGGAGTAATATAGAAAGCCAATATAAATAAACCCTCATATATATGGTCAAATGATTTTTATGGGAAATGAACTGCCTTTACAACAGTTAGTGCTGGGGAAATTGGGTACCTACATGTAAAAGAGTGAAACTGTTCCCTTAACTTATACCATAAGAAAAAATTAACTAACTCGACAAAAACCTAAATGTAAGAGCTAAAACTACAAAATTCTTAGTATAAAATGTAGGTAAAACATGTCATAACGCTGGATTTCGCAGTGATTTTTTTTAACAGGACACAAAAAATGCAAGAAACAAAAGAAAAATAAAGAGGACTCTATCCAGAATATACAAAGAACAATTCAGCAATAATAAAACAAAATACTTGTTTAAAATATGGGCAAAATACTTAGACATTTCTTTAAAAATTATGTGAAATGGCTAATAAGTCCATGAAAAGGTGCTCAACAAAACTAATCATTAGTAAAATGCAAATATAACTCCAAATGATATATCACTTAATACACATCAGCATAGTTACTACCAAAAGAAACAAAACAAAACAGAAAATCACAAGTGTTGGTGAGGACGTGGAGCAATTAGAACCCTTGTACACTGTTGTTGGAAATGTAAAATGTTGCAGCTGCTATAAAATAACAGTATAATAACTAAAAAATGTACACCAAAAGTCACCATATGATCCCACAATTTCACATCTGGGTATGTAGCAAAAGATGTGAAAGCAAAGACACAAAATAATACACGTACACCTAGGCTCATGGCAGCATTACTCACATCACCCAAAAGGTTTGTGAATTACCCGTGTTGTTTGAATTATCATCAATGAATAAATAAATAAAATGTGATTTATACATATATTGGAACGTTATTCAGTTATGTAAAATAAGAAAATTCTGACACATGGTACGTTATGCATGAACCTTAAGGACATTGTGCAAAGTGACATAAGCCAGTCATAAAAGGACAAATACTGTATCATTCCACTTATGAGATACTTAGAGTAGTTAAATTCTAGAAATCCAAGTAGAAGAGTGGTTCCTAGGAGCTGGAGGGGGAGTAACAGGGAGCTGTTATTTAATGTGCATTAAATTTTGGTTTTGGAAGTTGAAAGAAGGTCCCTATGAATGAGAATAATAGTTGCAAAACAATGTGAGTGTAGTTAATTTTTCTGAGCTGCACACTTAAAATAGCTAAAATGGTTAATTTTATGTATACTTTGCCACAATATAAAAAATATTTTTTAAATAAACAAACTATAGCTATCTGCAATAGGATGAATTAATATCATAAATATAAAGTTGCATAGAAGAAAGTAGATGTAAAAGTATACATGTTGTACAATTTCACTTATATAAAATCCAGAAAGTGAACACAACTGAGGTTCTGGCTTCCAGTAATAATGAAGTAGAGTAGATTGTTCAATAACTGTTTCACATATACTATAATAAAGTTTAATAAAATACTATATTTTGCTATATAGAAAGGCACACTGTTTAGAAGAACTGAATGAAGATTTTAGTATTGCCACTGTAGAAGAGATAAGGATTGGGGTTTGCATCTATTCAAATTAACTCCCTCATAAAATAATAATTTTCAAAGAAATACAACAGAAGCCAGAGTCCCTGTAATTCCTATCACACAATTTAAAAATTTATGAGATGCGTGAAGAAGGATGAAAATGTAATCGATTCACAAGATAAAAAGCAGACAATAGAACCTATTCTCAAGATGTGCAAGATGCTGTAATCGGTAGGTAAGATTTGAAAGAAGCTATGGTAAGTATGTTCATGGGGTTAAAGGAAAACAGTCTCATGACAAGTGAACAGATGTGTAACTGTGCACTCCCAGTCCTTTGGTCACAGGGCTGCAGGACTAAGGAAGGAAATTAAAGAAAAATGAAATTAAAAGGAAAGAGAAATAAGTTTTCTTGTATTAGGCTGATTTGTCCCAGAGGCAGCAATAGGCACAGCCCAGACCCAGGAAAATTCTTGATAATATTATGTAATGTGCTCTGGAGGTTCTCCCAACACTCCCCCAACACAGGGAAAAGAAAAACAAATTCCCTTTGTTTTATGGAATGAGTTTATAGATTCTTGTTCTCTGTAACTAGTGACTTCAAGTATTGTGTTTTATCGAAGAAGTACAATGAAAGTCATGAGAAGCCTGAGTAGGCTGAACTACAGCTGTTTGGGAACCATAGTGAGGGTTATAGGATAAGCCCATGCCCAGGGAAACCTAGATAATGGACATGTGGGTTGCTTGGCAACGGTCATGTGCAATCCTGTCTTTGTCCTGCCTCTGTATTCCTGCTTTCACGCCACTGTAAGCTCGCTTCAAGCTAGCCCACCACCTTTTGTGAAGTGTGTATAAAAGTCAGGTGTTGTCTGTGTTCCGGGCCCGGTCTTTTTGACGTGAGTCAGCTGGTCCTGAGTGCACTCAATAAAGATTCTCCTGTTTCAACCTGAGGTCTGTCTCGTCCTCCTGAATCCCGCAACAGGAGAATTCCAGTATGCACCATGTTCAGGGAACAGTGCGCGTCACTGAAGGAAAAGTGGGGCGGGAGGGGGTGGTGCATGGCTGTGAGAGCCTCTTGGGCTTGCTGGGAGATGTAGTCTTATAAAGACTCCCAGCCCCTTTGTCACAGGGCTGCAGCACCACAATCCCAGCATACAACGGAATCAGGGACAGTGCGCGTCGCTAGAAGAAGAGGTAGAGCTGTGCATAACTCGCTGGGCTTGATGGAAAATGTAATCTCATGAACACTCCTTAGTGAACAGTGAGCGTCACTGGAGGAAAAGGCGGGGCTGTGCAGGCCTTGCTTTAGTTGCTGAGAGATGCGGTCTCATAAACACTCCCAGCCCTTTGGTCACAGGGCTGAAGGACTACATTTCCATCATGCACCGGGATCAGGGATAGTGCGTGTGCCTGGATGAAGAGGCAAAGCTTTGTGTGCCTCCTTTGGCTTGCTGGGAGATGTAGTTTCATAAAGTCACCAGACCTTTCATTACAGGGCCGCAGAACTACAATCCCAGTATGCACCAAGATCAAGGATAGTGCGCGTTACTGGAGGATGAGGAGGGATTGTACACGTCTCGCTGGGCTTGGTGGGATATGTATTCTCATAAATACTCCCAAACCTTTGGTCACAGGGCTGCAGGACTACACTCCCAGCCAGCACCGGGCTCAAGGAAATTGCGCGTCACTGGAGGAAGAGGCGGGGTTGTTTGTTACTCGCTGGGCTTGCTGGGAGATGTATTCTCATAAATCCTCGCAGCCCTATCATCACAGGGCTGAAGGACTACACTTCCAGCCCCAGCATGCACTGGGCTCAGGGACAGCACACGTCACTGGAGGAAGAGGGAGGGCTGTGCGCTTCTCACTCTGCTTTTTTGGGAGATGTAGTCTCATTAACACTCCTAGCCCTTTGGTCATAGATCGCCAAGGACTGCAATCCCAGCATGCACCCAGCTCAGGGACAGTGCGCTAGTCACTGCAGGAAGAGGCAGGGCTGTGTGCACCTCCTGGGAGTACTGGGAGATGTATTCTCATAAACACTCCCAGCTCTTTGCTCACAGGGCTGCAGGAATACATTCCTAGTATGCACCCAGCTCAGTGACAGTGCGCTAGTCTAAGGAGAAAGAGGCCGGGCAGTGTGCGCCTTGCTGGGTTTCCTGAGAGTTGTAGTCTCATGGCCTCTCCCTGTCCTTTGGTCACGGTGCTATAAGACTACAATCCCAGCATGCTTGGGGCTCACGGACAGTCTACATCACTGGAGAATGAGGGGAAGGTTGTGTGCACCTCGCTGCACTTGCTAGGAAATGTAGTTTCATAAAGACTCTGAGACCTTTTGTCACGGGACTGCAGGACTCCAATCCCAGAATGCATCAGGATCAAAAACAGCATGCGTCACTGGGAAAAGATGTGGGGCTGTGTGCGTCTCCCTAGGTTTTCTCGGAGATGTAGTCTCGTGTCCTCTCCCTACCCTTGGCTCACAGTGCTATAAGACTACAATCCCAGCATGCTTGGGGCTCACGGACATTCCCCTTCACTGGATAAGGATGGGAAGGTTCTGCGCACCTCGCTGCGCTTCTTGGGAAATGTAGTTTCATAAAGCCTCTCAGACCTTTTGTCATAGGGCTGCAGGACTACAATCCCAGTATGTATCAGGATCAAAAACAGTATGCGTCACTGGGAAAAGATGTGGGACTGTGTGCCTCTCCCTACGTTTTCTGGGAGATGTAGTCTCATAAACACTCTTGGCCCTTTGGTCACAGGGCTGCAGGACTACAATCCCAGCATGCAGCGAGTTCAGGGACTGTGTGTGTGTGTGTGTGTGTGTGTGTGTGTGTGTGTGTGTGTGTGTGTGTGTCCCTGGAGGAAGACGTGGAGCTGTGCGTGCCTCGCTGGGCTTGCTGGGAGATGCATTCTGATAACCAATCCCAGCCCTTTCATCACATAGCTGTAGGACTACAATTCCAGCATGCACGGGGCACCGGGACAGTTCGCCTCAATGGAGGAAGAGAAAGGGGTACATGCGTCTCGCTGGGCTTTCTGGGAGATGTAGTCTCATTATTTCTCCCAGCCCTTTTGTCACAGGGCTTCAGGACTACAATCCCAGCATGCACCGTGCTCAGGGAGAGCGCGCCTCAGTGGAGGAAGAAGTGGACCTGTGCTCTTCTCGCTATGCTTTTTCGGAGATGTATTCTCACACACTCTTAGCCCTTTGGTCACTGGGCTGCCCTTTGGTCACAGGGCTGCAGCACTACAATCCTAGCATGCATGGGACTGAGGGAGCATGCGCTAATCAGTGGAGGAAGGGGCGAGGCTCTGCACGCCTCTCTGGGCTTGGTGGAAGATGCAGTCTCATAAACACTCACAGCCCTTTTGTCACAGGGCTGCAGCGCTACAATCCTAGCATGCACCGGGCTCAGGGAAAGTTGGCGTCACTGGAGAAAGAGGCAGGGTTGTGTGCACCTCCTGGGCTTGGTAGGAGATGTAGTCTCATAAACACTCCCAGACCTTTCATCACCGGGCTGCAGGACTACAATCCCAGCATGCACCCAGCTCAGGGACAGTGCGCATTACTGGAGGAAAAGGCTAGGCTGTGGACCCCTCCTTCTGCTTCCTGGGAGAGGTAGTTTCATAGAGACTCCCAGAACTTTCATCACAGGGATGCAGGACTACCATCCCAGTATGCACTGGGGTCAGGGACAGTCCGCGTCAGTGGAAAAAGAGGCGGGGCTGTGTGCGTCTTCCTAGGCTTGCTGGGAGATATATGCTCATAAACACTCCCAGCCCTTTGGTCGCAGAGCTTCAGGACTACAATCTTAGCATGCACCTGTCTCAGGGACAATGCGTATCACTGGGGGAAGAGGCGGGGCTGTGTGCTCCTCCCTAGGATTGCTGGGAGTTGTATTCTCATAAACACTCCCAGCCCTTTGGTCAAATGGCTACAGGACTACAATCCCAGCATGCGCCAGTCTCCGGGGTAAGGCATAGCCCTGGAAGAAGGGGCAAAGTTGTACATGCCCCACCTAATATGCTGGGAGCTGTAGTCCGTTAACTGCTCTCAGCCTATTTGTCGGTGGGCTTCAGAACCATAATCTCAGCATATACCGGGATCCGGGGTGCATAGACCTGGAGGGAGGGACAGAGCGGTGTGGACTTCCCAGTGTCCAAAGCATTGCTGAGTTCTTATGCTATGCCGACTCTTTGCCACAGAGAGTGAGTACAGAGGTGGACCTGGAGGACAGGTCTGGGCTGAGCATTGAGGAGGGTATTACCCTATGTAGGCACCTTACCTTTGCCCAAATCAGGCGGGTTATCCTCACCCGATTGGCCCTATGCTTCTCAGGTTCCTCTTTCAGCTGCACCCAGGGTTCCTTCCAGAGCATTGCACCTTCTGCAGCTCAGGGCACTGCCTTTTTTCCTAAACTACTGTGGAAACTGTCCTGATGTCTGAGACACTGTCCATTGTGCAGCAGCCCTCTTTTTTCTCTAGCCAGAGCGCGTGCTCAATGGCTTTTGAGAGAAATCTTCCACATGGCCTGCTTGTGAACAGCTTCAGAGCTCTGCAGGGGCTGACAAGGGCTGAGCCTTCCTGGAAACGTCACTCTCAATGGCGCCTTTTTCACGAATGTGAAAGTCGAGGCATCAGGAAGTTAGTTTAATGGGTTGCAGAAAATCTAAGAGCAAGGGAGAAAACCCGCTTTCCAAGGCGTGAGTTTTGTGAGCCATTTTCATCAACCCATTTAAGTGGACAAGCTCCAAAATGTAACCTGAAGCTGCTATTTAGGCATTTTACAATTAAAATCATCGGTCTCATCCCAAGTCGTGCCTCACTTGCCAGTGTCTCAGAGACACAAATGGGACCTGATCCCTCAGGAACAGATAGTGTTCCAGGTTCGTGGGAGCGACTTTTAAGTTGTGGAGCACTTGGGGTCGTTTGAAACCCACTATCTTCAGTAGGGACTTTTACGTCTAGAGAGCATGTGCATTTTGATTTTATCTGTCTTCAAGCTGAACCTTTGCTCATTTTAACAAGTAAAAACACATTCCTGGGTGAAATGTCATTGCATGCTAATGAGACATGAAACATATGCAAAAATATGTACAGCTACTGCACATGTGCACCCAGAAGACCACTCAAAGCATGCCTTCTATAACACTTCTTTCCACCTTCTTATGAATAATCATGTAAAACTCCCAGAAAGAGGGTTTCTCCAGCAACAATTAATGCTGTCTCACTCTTATGAGCAGGCTGCCCTGGAATCTCTTTCTCAGACTGTACCGTCTATTCTGCACTTGATTTTCAACGTATTCTTTTCTTTTTTGTGTGCAATAAATTACTCTATGCTGTACTTCTTTTGCTGCATGTTTCCTGTTTAAATTCTTTTAAGCTAAGAAGATAAGAACCAAGGTATTACATCAGCCATCAACATTTCTTTTGCCATGGCCCGGAGAGAGGTTTGTCTGCTTCATTAATTTCAGTTTCCCTTTTCTTGCAGTGAATACTATGGCACTTCCAGACTACCTGGTTAACTATCGCTGGTTGTTCCAGCGCTGTTTCACTAAAGTTCTGGGGGAAACGTGTTTAAATCACCTATATTCTCTAGAGAGAGAATATATGTCTGCTCTCCTTTTGGCTGCTGCATCTGTACTATCCATAAATGACACTCACCGCATGGGTTGCTCTCAACATTTCATATTCGGGCTAGTTTGCTGCTTAGTTTCACATCTTTCTGGCCACACTTCAGACTCAGCTTATCGTTTGCTGTCCCTTCGGCAATACTCGATCGCCACCTAGTGGCTATTGTACTTTATTTTCTGATCGGGTTTTCTGTTTACAGTTTTGTCTTGTTTTGTTTTGAGTGGAATATTAAGAGAACCCTGTCCCTTCAGGCTTTATGCATTTCCCACCTCCTTGAAATTGTTCTTCAACAGGTTTTCTTTGCTGAACAAACGACTCAAAGTCATGTAGATGCCCGGTCGTGGGGTTTGAATCTGAGCATTGCAGGTGTTATAATTCGGCATCATAAATTGCAAACCAGTAAATTAGGGAAAGGCTTGTCAGCCAGACATCTGCCCCCCAGCCAGCAGTGGGGGTCATCTCGGCAGGGCTGGAGATGTGCAGCGCTGGTGAGAGATAGGATGGTGTATGGCACATGCCTATGACCTCCTAGAGCTTCAGTTAATGGGGTCTCGCGGGGCTGTGCTGGACACCTTGGTGGTTCCACTTGTCCCATTGTGATGCCCATGGCCTCCTGGACTTTAGTACATATTCTGACGTTGCAAGATTCTGTCGGCACCGTGGGAGCCGCTTCCTCTACTGTCATTGAAACACCCCTGGGATGTATATTTAAAAATTGAAACAGCTTTTGGCTAGATGAACCAAAAAAAAAAAAAAGAAAAGAAAAAACTTATCTTCTTTTGTAATACTATTTAGCTTGCATACAGATTAGCTCACAAAACATGGCTGGGGAATGAGACTGTGAACTTTAACACCCTCCTACAGCTAGATCTTTTCTGTAGAAATCAGGGAAAATGGTCTGAAATATCCTATGTGCAAACCTTTATGGCCTGACAACAAAACCCAGCTCTATGCAGCACCTGTGGGCTAAAGCCTAGTAAGCCACAAAGCCCCTCAGAAGCATTAGAAGATCATCTCTTATTAATGGGAAGGGACCCCAGACCCAACAGGCCAACACCAGCTCCAGATAGGGACCCTCAGGGGCCTACACCTCCTGTAGAATCCGCAGCATCCCCACACTATCAGAGTCTTCTGTAGAATCTAAGCTTGTTTCACCTCCTCCTTATGCTCCTCTCTATCAGCCTTTGCCAGGTATAATAGTGACCAGCCCAGCTGTAGTTACTCGCGGTGGAACTTCACCCCATGCAGGGCCAGAGAATTTGATCCCCTTACAGAAAGTCCCAAATGGAGAGAGGACCATCAGAGTGCTTGTTCTCTTCTCAATAAATGATCTAATCCAATGCAAGCAACAGCTCTGATGGCTCCCAAAGAACTTCAGCGCATTTACTGAAGCCTTCCAGGCTCTAACTTTGACCACCATTCAACTTCACCATCCATAAATGGACCCAATGACTGCTGACCACGTAGCTGCAGAAAACTTTTGCTTATTGGCAAAAAATAGAAAAGACTTAAAACTTTTGCTGCTTTCACCATTTCAATGCAGAATTCCTTTGCAGCACAAATGTCACCATAAGGTGGATCCTTGGGAATCCAGTATAAACTATCTCAGAAAATCTCAGTGTGTCCCCAACAGGCAGCAGAGGGCCTCAATAGACTTCAACAACATCTGGACTCCATGGCCACTGTAGTCCGACAAAACCAAGGAGCCTGGGATCTTCTCCCAGCCGGGTAAAGAGGAACATGTTTATATCTAAAAGAAGAATGCTGTTTTTGAGATCAATCAGTCTGGTTTAGTCGAAGAAAATATTAATAATATCATCACCCAGGCAGACAAAATTGAATCTCTAGGAACTTCCATGGGAATATGAAAGCTATGTCCATTGTCTGCCTTGCTCTCTTTAATAGTACCCGTCATTATTATATTTTCAACTTTTACTTTTGTTCCAATTTTGTTTAAAATGTTAACTGATTTCTTGCTCTCTTGCTTACGGCAACTCCATGTTTGCATGATGGTTTTGCAAGGCTTTCAACCTTTGGTTGCCAACATCTTCCCACTGGTTCCACGAACGACATGGTTTACACCCTGTTAGATCACACAGGAAGAAACTTTAAGGCCCAGGCTAGGCAGAAGTAACACCCGCTCAGCAGGAAACAGCTCCAGAAATAATGGCCTAACCCCTCAACCTCCAATATGATTATTGCCCTAAAATCTCTTAGGGGGAAATTGAGGCAGAATAGATAGTACAGAAAATGACCATGATCTCAGGATACAGAAACCATGGTGACTGTACAGCCGACACAATAAGCCGTAGCATTCGCATTGTAATTGGGCTTATTCAAGCAAAGTTATCCTCATTAAGGACTTTCTGTTCTAGAAAGCATGTACATTTTGATTTCACCTGTCCTCAAACTTAACTTTCGCTTATTTTAATAGCAAAAAATATAGGCCCTAGCCAGGCAAGGTGGCTCATACCTGTACTCCCAGCACTTTGGGAGGCTGAGGAAGATGGATCACTTCAAACCAGAAGCTTGAGACTAGACTGGCCAACATAGTGAAATCCCGTCTCAACTAAAAATACAAAAATTAGCAGGGTATGGTGGTGCATGCCTGTAATCCCAGATACTCTGGAGGCAGAGGCATGAGCATGGCTTGAACTCAGGAGGTGGAGGTTGCAGTGAGCAGAGATCACACCACTGCACTCCAGCCTGGGCAACATGGGGAGACTCTGTCTCAAACAAACAAACAAACAAACAGAAATACACTCCTGGGTGGAGATCTAAGATGCTAACGAGACATGCAACATATGAACAAGCATGTATAGTCACTGCGTATGTGCACCCAGAATATCACTCAGAACATGCTTATAAGCAACTCCTCTTCCCCTTTTCTTATTAATAATAATGTAAAACTCCCGTAAGGGGGTTTCTCCAGCGACAATCCACGCTGTCTCACTCTTACGAGCAGTCCGCCCTGGAGTATCTCTCTCAGGGTGTACTGTATTCTGCACTTAACTTTCAAATATTTTCTTTTCCAATAAATTATGCTGTACTTTTTTTCCTTGTGTCTCTTGTTTAAATTCTTAAAAACTAAGAAGACAAGAACAGAGGTATCACATCAGTTGTCAACACAGCAATAAGTCAGCCTACTTCTTGTAAGCATAGCCCATGCAGAAAAGGAGAGTCGCATCACCTAGGTGCTGGATCCAGAGATATGTCACAACTTATCCCAGGCACCAAGTTAAGGTCATTGAAGATAGTCGTGTTAAATAGTTTCTGGGCCCAGGGATATGTCACAATGGCTCCTGTGAGCAGAGATC